>NC_000005.10:164852233-165155263 GCF_000001405.40 Homo sapiens | reverse complement strand
AAAAAAGAAAAAAAAGTAAAGCTACGTTTGGTAACAATACCAAAACAGAGTCCTATATTTTTAAAAACCTAAATATAGTTACCAGCATTTCCTGTCTCTTTGGATATATTTTTGCTATTTTATTATCGTATTCCATTGCATAGATGCTACACAATTTAACTAATTTCATAAGTTTAGATGTTTAGTATTTTTTTTTTGGTTGTTTCTTTTGAGACGGAGTCTCGCTCTGTCGCCCAGGCTGGAGTGCAGTGGCACGATCTCCGCTCACGGCAAGCTCATGGGTTCACGCCATTCTCCTGCCTCAGCCTCCCCAGTAGCTGGAAATACAGGTGCCCGCCACCACGCCTGGCTAATATTTTTGTATTTTCAGTAGAGATGGGGTTTCACTCTGTTAGCCAAGATGGTCTCCATCTCCTGACCTCGTGATCCGCCTACCTCTGCCTCCCAAAGTGCTGGGTTTACAAGCGTGAGCCACCGTGCCTGGCCTAGATATCTAGTTTTTATCTAACTTTTCACATGATTCGTTACGCACATACCTGCTTATTCTTACAAATAGATACCTAGAGGTGAGATATTGCCAAAAAAGAGAATGAACTTGTTTTCACTGGCTTATTAGCCATTCATAATTTATTTTGTCCAGAACGATGCCTTTGCTCATTAGTTTACTGATAGTACTACATTTTACCTTAAACTATTAAAACTTCATATTATCAAAAATCTGTTTGTAGTATATGGACAATTCACATTTCATCATTTGTCATTTTCCTGATCATTTTTTATTTCTTGTTACATAGGTGCTTTATATTTTTTGTTTTTGTTGTACATTTAGGTCTATATTAATTTGGGGTTTTATGCTTACATCTTTGAGCCATTTGGAGTTAAATCTGCATATGGTATATGAGACAAGCTTTGAGGTTATTGTGTATTTTTGTTCTTCCTTTTTGTTTTTACATATAGAAAGCAAATTGTTTCAGCATCATTTACTGAAAAGATTATTCTTTCCCCTTAAATTGCTTTGACACTTCTGCTGAAATTCAGTTGATCATATATGTGTGAGTTTTGTTTTTGCTCTCTTTATTCTGTTGCAAACATTTGTCTACCTTTATGCCAATAACACACTATCTTGGTTACTATAGGTTTATAATAAGACTTTTTTTCTCTCTCTTCAGATTCCTTCTGGGTATGTCCTTTGTGTTTCCCTGAAAATTTTAGAATTATCTTGTCAATTTCTAAAAAACACAGCAACAACTACTGTGATCTTGACTAGAAGTGAATCTATAGATGAATGTGGAGGTGGTTGATATCCTAATAACTGAGTCTTCCAATGCATTATGGAGCATCTCACTTTTAATTTTTTAACTTTTCATTTTTGAGTTTTTAATGTACAGGTTTTACCCATCTGTTTTTTTCAATTCATCCCTATTTGATATATTTGATTCTATTTTAAATGCTATTTTAAATTTTATTTTCCAATTGTTTGTGTCCAGTACATATACATTTCATTGATTTATGTATCACTATCTTATTTTCTACAATTTTACCAAACTTGTGATAGGTAGTTCTTCTTCTTATATTCTGTAGAATTTACTGGCATAGATGACCAAGTCATCTTCAGTAAAAGACAATTGATTCTTCCTTTCTAGTCTGGGTGTCTTTTAGTGCCCTATTTAATAGGATAGACTAAATAAAGAAATGCTAATATAAGAAGTGAAAACAGACATTCTTGGCTTGCTACTTATTTTCCAGGAAATTACTTACTTTTTTACGATTTTTATTTTAGCTTAGGTCATATAGAATTTTTTTTTTTTTTTTTAGTTAAAATTACATTGATTTTTCAATGTTAAACCAACTTCACATTCTTGGCAACACTTGATCATAATGTATTATTCTTCGTATTTCTGTCAGAATTTGATAAAAATGTATTTGAATTTTTACATCTATGTTCATAAAGATACCTCGATAGTTTTCCTGTTATGCTCTTGATTAGATTTGGTATCAGGGTATATTCAGGCCTTACAGAGTGATTTGGGGATCATACTTTGTTCTTTAAATTTTTTTTGGAACTGTTTAGATAGAATGCTCTTACTCCTTCTTTAAATGTGTGAGATAATTTGCCAGTGAATTCATCTGGACCTGTAGATATTTTTCTCTTTTTTCTTCTTGAGTGAGACTTGGTAGTTTCTTATTTTTAAAAAAATTGGTCTTTAATTTTATACTGTTTTTACTATATATGGCAATTGTTAATCATTATTACTATTAGCACATGCATAGCAGCTCTTCCTTTCTACAATTGATGTGGCCTTTATATTACTTACACTTCCTCAACTTTTGGGAAGAAAATTGGATTCCAGAAGGGGAAAAGGAAGACACATAATATAAATTAATTGTTTAGGTAAGAGTCTTCCTGATACTTAACGTTTGTTTTGTTTTTTTCTTTGAGATGGAGTCTTGCTCTTGTCGCTTGGGCTGGAGTGCAGTGGCATGATCTCGGCTCACTGCAACCTCTTCCTCCTGGGTTCAAGTGATTCTCCTGCCTCAGCCTCCTGAGTAGCTGGGATTACAGGCACCCACCACCATGCCTGGCAAATTTTTGTGTTTTTTAGTAGAGACAGGGTTTCACCATGTTGGCCAGGCTGGTCTCAAACTCCTGACCTCAGGTGATCTGCCCGCCTCAGCCTCCCAAAGTGCTGGGATTACAGGCGTGAGCCGCCGCACCCACCTTTTGCTTTGGTTTCTTCTTTGTTTACTTTTAAATCTGTAATACAGTTACTGGGTTTCTGTGTATCCTGGCTACCATTTTCTGTTCCCTACCATGGACTGTATAGGCTTCTTTACCAGGATGATTTTGTATTTGCCATTGCTGGATACTAAGGGATTTACTGGCACACGACCAGTTTTTATTTGTAATGGTCCCACTGGCAGGATTGCAATTTTAGTCACAAGGCCACTTTAGCACAACCCAAGACCCAGCATGGGTTACTTGCTTTTGTGCCCAGTCCCATGGCTACTGATTATCTTTTTGTGATTGTTTAACAGTAAGGACAATTCCTCTATTGTGTGAGCCTTTATGCAAGGAGGCCAGTTCCAGTTCTCTGCTATGCACAGTGCGTATTTTTTCTGCACAGGTTTTTTTTTATTTATTAAATTTTTCAAATGGATACATAAAAATTGTACATGTTGATGATGAGAACCCAGATTTTAGGCCAGTGACTGATTCTGCATCTTTCAGCTTCAAATCTGGTCCACTACTATGGGTTTAAATTTCTTTCTCATTTCTGAACTTTGGAGATGAGCTTTTATTGCTTTTGCACTTTTACATGCAACTCATTTAAAAATAAATTTCCCACTCTTCTCAAACTCTGTTATAATATATACATTTACTTCTCTAGCACTATTGATGGTTAAAAATGAAAAATTTCTATCTTCCATAGCCTCCTACTTTCTAATAACTGTGCATCCCAGCAGTGCACTGTTCTAAGAAAAGTTCAGCCAAAAAAAGAAAAAGAAAATTAAAGAAACTCTGTAAAAACAGTGACTTTCAAACATGAGAGGCAAAAATTATTTTTTTTCCACAATCTACTCAGTATTGATGGTACGGATAAAAATATCTCTTTAGAACTATTACCTTGAGAACTTAAGAATTTGAGATCATCTTATCTTAATTCTGTGTGGGAGGACTGCCTCTGACAAGCTTAATTTTTTTGCTCCAGATAACTCACCTCTCAACTTGTCAAGTCTCTGATGTGAGATCCAGTATTAAACAAAGAGTCACACCGAAAGGCTTACACAGTAGAAGAGTTTAAAGTAAGGTAAGATATGGCATTCGTTAACGAAAAAAAAAAAAAAGTTTTGTAGCCTCAGTGATAATTCTACCTCTTTTATGAAAACAATTTACAAATGTGCTTTCTCTAATTTAGTCAAGCCTTCGTTACAACTCTGGATAAATATGAAAGGAAATCTAATTTTTTTTACTTCCATAACAGTTCTTCAATTCTGCTTGTGAAAGATTGTATTATTTTAAAAACATTTTATACTAACATGAGCTGGAATGATAGATATTTGTTATTTAAACCCAACTGAGTCAACGTGACAACATTGCCACCTTTTCATACAACAGAGACTATGTGCTTTTTGAAGGCTGTAAGACAACTTTCATTCATTTGACTGAAAACTCAGGGGTCTGGCTTCCTGAAGCTTACTCTAGTTCCTTCATTCCCTTTGAGAAATGCATAGGTATTTAAATAGTATAGGTATCCAAATTTAAGTTGATAAATCTGTTGCTATTCTACACTCTACTTTGAATCTAGACTGCCATTGTCTATGGAAAAATATGCAATTGTATTATTTGTAAGAAGAGAGCAATTATTTATCAATAGCTGTCCTGTCCTGCCTATAAAGCAGCTTCAATGTCTAGTACAAATTGGTCACCAGTAAAATAATATTCATTATTAATATGTTAATAATTGACAATATCATAAAAATCACCATCTACATCTATATTTGAGAATTGCTCCTTTGCTAATATCCTTACCTCTCTTCCATTTTGGCTTTATCCCCCGCCCCCCTTTTTTTTTTTTCAAAATTTCTCAACAATTTTCTCTTCTCTCCTACTCTGCAACTCAATTCTCACTATAACTGGATGACCCGCATGCCTACTGTAAATATTTAAAATAAAGGTTCTAAAAGGTCAAGCTTAAATGATTATTAATTTTTGTGTGCAATGGAATATGTATTTGGAAATTTTGTTCCTTTTTACTTTATTTCTTCTTTATGTATGTGTCTATCTATGACAACACAAGCATTAAAGAGTATTGAGGTCAAATAATGGATGTTAAATTAGTGCATGCAAGATTCTGGTGCACTGCTAGGCAAAAAGTAAAAATTAAATAAACAGCTGAAGGTGACGGTTGTGGTAGGAGTGATATGCTTTCAGCTCTGTGGAATTTGGATTTCTTCCAATGTTTAGATGCAATGAATCTATTACATTTAATAATAGTATTAATGAATAGGTGTTAATAAGGAGTTTAACTTCAAAAAAAGCAACATACCGTAATGTATTACCTTCTAAAAATAAACTCCTTTTAACTTCTTGATCTTCACACAACTGTGCCTTTCTATATATCAAAATAAAGAACTGTGAATCATTAAAAATGCTCCTACTTTGAAAAGTCTACAAAGAACATTTTGAAAGATAAAAATGTTCTGAGCTAAGCCCTCAAAAATAAGCATTGTTTGACCCAGACTTTCACAAGTTTGATTTTTTTTATAGTCTAATAACTTACAAAATGCCATTTTCCAAATCTGAGCTGTATTGAGTTTCAGAAACTCAAATGAATGTCTAAAACAACAGAACATATTCCATACCTGCTCCCCCCGAACAAAATCTGATTTCTCAAAAATCACTTTCTTGCTGAGGTCTTGTCTTGTATGTCAAGTTCTTGCCGGAAGCTAATTTTTATTGCCAGGTTATAAACCTCTAAAGTAGTAGCTCTATTATGAAAACAGACACAACCTTAGCCATAGTGATATGAATGGCACAAATATAATACTGTGAACACAGCATCAGCCATTAGCTCAAATAGCTTGCTTTTTGCCCCATTGTTGCTCATTGTCCCCTATACATTTGCTATAATGCCTGTGGTGCCTTTCAATACTACTTAACTATAGGCTGTCCTCCAGGAAATGTCAGGCACAGCCACCTCTGGTGACATGCAGACATGTGCTAGTTAGCACTGGTTTGTCACTGAGATACTAACTTGATACACATTTTTTTTCTGTAAAAAATACACTCCTTACCAAAAGAACAGGGCCCCCCAAGCTATGTTGTAATATGAAGCTGCTGACTGATCTCATTATAGCCTATTGTTTTCAGGTAGTTTGCTAATGAGATACATGTCTGAACCAAAATGCTGTTTACAGAGTATGGGGGGAAATGTGCTATTTTTTTCCCTTTTTTTTTTTTGTCTTACTTAACTCATTCTTTAAATCTAGATTGTGTTGATGCTTTAGTTGAATGTGTACCATTATAGTAGGGTTTTATGTAATGATGTGATGGATAACAGCCTAATCAGGCTGAATTATAAAATCTCAACCCCTTGGTGAGTTATCAATGTGGGCAGGGGCATGAGGCTATGCACACAATAAGACCTTCTTAAGACTGACTCCTGGAGTCTCCCAATAGATGAGGAAGAAATATCTGTCTTCAGGGTAGTAAGAAACTCTTCAGTAACATGCTGGGGATATGCAGAAAAACTTTTCCAAGATTTCTGGCTCATAGCAGTAGCTCTAAACAAAGACAGGCACAGTTTAATAACAGATATGGTTTTCCTCATTTCATTTTAGATGCAAAGACATCTAAAATGGTGGCAAATTCATGTAAAAGACACCCGTTTCGGCAAAAATAGGCACAGCACTTTGCATTAACAATACTAATTGTTATGGAAATTTTCAGCTGAAGTTGCTGGCTAATAGTGAGAAGATTAGTGAATTCTAATAAGATCTATAAATATTTATGTGTGGCTAATAATTTTATGACAATACATCCAACATCCTAAAAGTAATGTCTTCGTAAATGTGTATGCAGTAAGTCTGAATAAAACAAATTAAGAACATTATTTTAGCGTATTTTCTTTGCTATTATCCTGTTTGATATGAAATCAAATGTTGGCAATTTAGGTGCATCTGCTTAAATGTTGAAGGATCATGACCTGTGAAATCGGGATACAATGAAGAAGATCATATGACTGGTTTTCTCCATCTTCAAAATAGTCTAATAAAAAATGGTCTAATAAAATGCTTCAAATAGGACAACAGATTTCCAATTGTAATCCAAATTATAAAATAAGTCATAGAAATTCTCCCTCCAATCCCAGGAACACGCTCAAGAAATCAGCACTACAACGTCTGAGTTTACTGAAACTCCAATACACACCCAAAACACACATGGTTTAAGTATAGGAGTGGTGAGGTAACTGCCTAAAACTGTAGGTGAGTGCATTAGAGTTTTATCATTGCCTTAACAAATCACCACAAATTTAGCATCTTAAAACAAACTCCATTAATTATCTCACAGTTTCCATAGGTCAGAAGCCCAGCTGGTTTAGCAGGGTCTCTCCTTCAAGTCTCACAAGGCAGAAATCAAGGTTATGGCAGGTCCATGTTTCTTTCTGGAGGTTCTAGTGAAGAATCCATTTACTTGCTCATTCAGGTTGCTGGCAGAATTCAGTTCCACGCAGCTGTGGTACTGAGGTCCCAGTTCTTTGTGGGCTGTCAACCGAGGGCCTTTCTCAACTTTAGAGGTCTCCTGCATCTTTTGGCTCATGGCCTCCTTTCTCCATCTCCAAAGCCAGTAACAGCAAGTTGAGTCCTCTTCATTGTACACTTCTCTAACACAGCCGTGCGCACACACACTTTGACTCTTCTGCCTCTGACTCTTCTTCCTCTTTGCTATGCCTTTACAGGCCCATTTAATTAGACTGGCTCACCTGAATCATCCAGGATCATCTCCCTACACCAAGGTGCCCAATACGTTCATTCCATCTGCCAACTCCCTTTTGCCACAGAAGGTAACACGCACAGGCACAATGCAGAGTGGAGTGGTGGGGATGTATCAGTCTGTTCTCACATTGCTATAAAGAACTACCTCAGGCTGGGTAATTTACAAAGAAAAGAGGTTTAATTGACTCACAGTTTCACAGGCTGTACAGGAAGCACGGCCTCAGGAAACTTACAATCATGTCAGATGGAAAGCAAAGGGGAAGCAGGAATGTCTTACATGGCCAGAATAGGAGGAAAAGAACCAGATCTTGTGAGAACTCACTATCAGGAGAACAGCAAGGGGGGAAATCCACCCCCATGATCAAATCACCTCCCAGCAGGCTCCTCCTCCAACACCGAGGATTACAATTTGACATGAGATTTGGGTGGTGACACAAATCCAAATCAAAGCAGGGGGCAAGTGGGAGAGATCATAGAAACCAAAATGCTGCCTACCATAGAGAGCATTCTTATCTTTAAGTTACTATCACTTTCTTCATAACATAACATAAGCTAGGTAAAATAAATTTTATTTTCTGAATGAGTTTCCAAAATTTTAGTTTGATCAGGATTATACTACACTCAGGTCACCTAGTCCAACAAACTCATTTCCTTTCAACTTTTATCCTCTACTAGAATACCAAACATGTGCTCTGGAACAAAATGTGAGCACCCACTATCATTATCTTTGAATAATAGAATTTTAAATATATTTCAAATAGACTATGAAGACATTATGGGAAAGCATCGTAGCTTTCATATTAATTTCTTGAGCAAAAATCAGGATGGGAGAATTTCTCTGTGATCCACAACCTGCTAAAAACAGCACTTTACATTATGGAAATATTTACTTGAAAGTCCATATATTTTATAAAACTTGACTCACAATCAAGATAACTCAACATGGAAATCTACTCATCAGCCTATGGCTGTCTCTTATATTTTCTTGGCTATAGAAATTTCTGCACAAGGCGGGCACAGTGGCTCACACCTATAATCCCAGTACTTTGATAGGCCAAGGTGGGTGGATCACCTGAGACTGGGAGTTTGAGACCAGCCTGACCAACATGGAGAAACCCTGTCGCTACTAAAAATACAAAATTAGCTGGGTGTGGTGGTGCATATCTGTAATCCCAGCTACTCAGGAGGCTGAGGCAGGAGAATCCCTTGAATCCGGGAGGCAGAGGTTGCAGTGAGCCGAGATCACACCATTGCACTCCAGCCTGGGAAACAAGAGTGAAACTCTGTCACACACACACACACACACACACACACACACAAAGAAAAGAAAAAAGAAATCTCTGCACAAAGAGATCTCCATGAGACAGTAAAAACAACTCAGAAACTGCCTTCAGCAACTGAACAATAACCTGGCTTGCATGGCAATCTTGCTACATTACAAGCAAGACCAACCAACCAGAATTATGTTGGTATGGCAGGTAGATAATATAACAGCTACTGCAACAACACACTCGGAGAAACTGGAAGGAAACGCCCAAGATAGGATTTCCTGTTCATTTCACTCTGGTTATCACATCCATGGGAAAGGGAATGTAGGTGGTAAACTATGGTGCCCTATCAACTGAAAGTGAGGACTGGAAGAAAAGCATCCCAGTTTGAGCAAGTAGTAATAATAGACGCTCATCAGGGAGGGGTTGGAAAAAAAATTAGAAGATTTATTTAATAGAAACAAGTAATCCCTTTGTGGGAAAAATATGGCCTTTTCATTATGTATTTGAATCATTTGGACTAAAAAACAGAGGAGATGGCTACAACTTGTAGGATAAGGCTATGATTGTTTTTATTGCTCTTCCAGAAAGACTAAAGAAAGATAATTAAACTGAAATTTAAAATTAAACTGAGTGTATGTGTGTGTGTGTGTGTGTGTGTGTGTGTGTGTATTTCCAATCCTGAATTTTTCTCTCCTACTGGATGAGTGTCTTGGAACATCTCTTTGAATGGATTCTGCTTCTCTGAGAATAGCCAGCTTTACAAAATCTCAAGTTTTTATGTGACATGGAAAGTAATTATTATTGAACAGACCTTAACTTCTTTGGGGGGTATACAGAAGATTTGTTGAGATTGACAATTAGAATTTTTTCTTTATTATGAGAACTATAAGATATCTTTCATAATAAAATAGATTAACACTCTACCTTTGAAGATTGCATTTACAGTAAATGCTACATTTGCTCCGTGGATATTTTTACCACCTATTCAAAGACTAATATATGTTCCACTTCTCATTGAAGTTTTATAAATAATACTCTTGGTAACAGAGGCCAACTATTGGGTTAAAGTTGACCAAAACACATTCTTTGTCAAGCATGAAAACCTTGCCTTGACCTTTATACAATTATTTTTTCAAATGAAGAATTAATGTTTTCCAAAACAGTCATACAATGATGTGGGAACTGTATTAGTTTAAGGTTAAAAACTCCTGACACTGTGAATGAGATGCTTATTTTCTAGTATTCATTTGCATGATTAAAAGGAACTCCTTCCCTAGCCGAAATGTGGGGGCAAATGGTCATGGTATCTGTTCATAGTAACTGTTTATAATGTCTTGCTTTTAAAATTTTAGTGCACTCAAATATTAGTCAAATGAAAAAACACAAAATCATGTAATCTCTATGTTAGAAAATATTACCATAAAGATAATTGATGCCAATACTTTCTCCATAGCATGGTCTATCTAAAATTTTCCAGATCCAATTTGATCCCTCCCATTCCCCTAAAAATCATGGAAAAATTACAAGCCTTTGACATTTTTAAGTTGTTCTAACTTTCAGAAAGGTTTTCCTTACAGTGAACCAAAATTTGTCTTTTTGCTTTTTCTCTGTTTCACTGGAGTTGCATAGGTCAAGTCTAAGGTGACTTTCCCCATTACACACAGCTTCAAATATTTTTAAACTCCTTTGTCTCTTGAAGTTATCCGTTCTCCTATTTAGGCATCCCAATCACCTTTTAAAATTTTTTTTTATTCATCCATACTAATTGTACACATTTATGGGGTACACTTGATATTTTGATACATGCATACAATCCCACTGCTGGGCATATATATATTTTAATCATCTTAATCCCTTTTAAAGATTTCCTAATCTTCCATCTTTATACTGGAAAGAGGAGTAAGACACAACAGTTGAGACCTCAATCTTTGGAGGTAGTCTTGTCCAGCTTTGAAATCCTTTTCTACTCCTATTTACATTTGTTTGGATCAAAGTGGTAACTTTACCTCTCTGACCCTTTATTTCTTCTGCCACTTCTATGACATTAATCAATGTAAGGTGAAACTCTTGAAGCCTTCCTTCTCTCCCATACTATCTGTTTAATCTTGAGTAAGATACATATCATTTCTGAGTTTTTAAATCTTCATGTGTATATGGAAATAGTGGAGTTGCTCTGAAGGATTACCAAAGATAATTTGCATAAAATTCTTTAAAAGAATTTCTGGAACAAAGAGAGCACTGACAAAATATGACTGTTTCTGCCCTCCTTTTGACCTAATCACATTTTTCAATATCCCTGTCTTTCTTAGCTAGAGTCCTCTAAAAAAAGCAAAAATTAACACAGTGAATCAAAAATTAAAGTGGTGTAATCTCTTTGGAAGGGGTAAGCCCAGGGTGGAGAGGGTGAGGGGAGGAAAAGCATGAGTCTGTTACTGAGATGCCTGCTGCTTCCCAAGGGGCCTCAGAGATAGCAAAGGGTGCGCAGGCCCTGTGTTTGCTCTGCATGTGGGACTTCACTGGGCTCACTGCAGCAAGAATCATATCTGGAAGCTGCACACGGAGGAGAGAAAGGAAGGAAAATTTATCTGCGTGGAGATCTTTAGTCTCCTGTTTCTCATTTGCCTTCTATATCCAGCTGGTTTCATCTAGCTCCTCAGCAGCTGCTTAGGAAGTCAGAAGTCAGGTTTTGTGACGTGGTATTTCAACAGGGTACAGAAGTGAAGAAAAGTTATCTGTGCTGGTTAGAACTAGGAAATCTGAGAAACTATGGAAGAATGTCCCATTCATTGTAAAAGTAATCCTTTCAGAATTTCCTAAAGATAGATGAGGCATAAGAAGACTCATCTCCTTTTAGTTATTGTTGCAATTTTGTTATTGCTTTACTATTAAATTTGCCTAGAAATCACAAAACAGGTCCACATTATTAACTTATTTTTTATAAACATATAACCAGATATTATTGTATTATTATTTTAACATTGCTGCCATACAATCCTATATCCCTCATCTAAATTCATTACTATTGTAGACTTTCCAAAATCTGTCTCAAATTTATTTTTCCATATTGAACACTAATTTATAATCTCTTCCCTCTAATAACTTGAACTATTCATTCTACCTAAGCCTTCTCCTCTGAGTAAACTTTGTCAATGATATGTAGAATGCACTCTTTCAAAAATTCATGAAAGGCCATTTCTGAGTCCTTATATCATCTTTATGTGGAAATAATGAAGTTGCTGTGAAAAATTGTGAATAACATGCATAAAATACTGAGAAGGAATTTGGATGGTATATCCAAACCCTTCTTTAAGAGCAAGTTACAATGCCATCTTCTTCATAAAGTTATATCATGCCCCTAGGTGGAAGTACTGTTTTTTTCTTTTTACATAAAAAGTTTTGTGGTTAGTAGTCTGAATTGAAGATTTAGAGCTATGAAAGACATCATGGAAGAGTCTTCTAATATTCTATTGACTCCACTCCTCACCTTTCTCCTCGTCCAAGATCTGCTTCTTGCCTCATAACTTTCCAGCAGCTCTGGGAGTTCAGTTTTCTATTTCAGCCTCTGCCTAATAAGGTTAAAATGTGAACCACATATACCATTTTAAATTTTCTAGTAGTTATGTTAAAAAAAAAGTTTTAAAAGAGGCAAAAATAATTTTAATGATATATTTTAACCCAATAAGTCCAAAATATTAATATTTTAACGTGCCTCCATATGAAATTAAGATATTAGATGATTTTTCCATACTGTTTTTAAAATCTGCTGTGTATTTAATACTCACAACACATCTAAATTTACATTAGCCACATTTCAAGTGTTCAATAATTGCATTTGACTAATGATTACCGTAATGGACAGCACAATTATGCTGTAAATCATTTTATCTCTCCCAAGGTTCTACTCTCAAACTCTTACAGCCAAATCTCTTGAACTGTTTTTCTATTACACATGGTTTTTCTTCCTAATTATTCATGAGTTATATAAGGGGTAATCCTATGTCCTTATTTATTTATTCATTTATTTACATCATGTACCTAATTTAGGATTTGATACACATTTATTTACCAATTGATTAATACATGATGCTAGACATTTACAATATCCCTTGTCAATTCCCAGATCTTTTTGTTGTGTTTTCTACACTTTCTTTAGATTGATTGTGCCTTTAATCTGATCTGCCATGATTATGACAATCTGGGAAACAGTTCAGTACAATAGAAATGGCACAGAAACATGTGTTCAAGTGTTGGATCAACCTATGACAGTCTATGTGGTTTCGCATAGTAACTTAATATCATTATACCTTTGTTTCTTAATCTGTAAAATGACAAACATTCATAAATTTTAAACACAGGAAAATTTTGTGATCATATTAAAAGAATATATGTCAAAGTATTCTCAAAATTTTAAAGCATAAAAGCAATGGAAAAATATATGGTTTTGATTTTTCTGTTTTACTTTCAATATGCTGCGTATATTTTTTGGCTTTTGCCTAAAGTAGAACATTGTGCCAGTGGTTCACAATGGCTTTTAAAATCCCCTCGTAGTTCATAGTTTGTAATTTTGAGCCCAGTAACTTATAAAACCACTTGGGATTAATTTTTCCTAAGTGTATTCATTTATTTGTTTTCACTGAAGCTTTATTTTTCCATGTCTTACAGAAGGGTAGTATATTCCTAAACTAGCTAAACACCTTTATAGTGTTACCAAGCATTTTAATCTTGGGGAGAAAGAAGCAAAGAGAAATTTTTTAAAACAGAAAAGCACAATGAATATATTTGTGAATAATTACATTTATTACAACTACAGAAATAAGCTTTGTCAAGATTAATACCCATTGCAAGTCAATCTTGTCAGAGTTCTGAATTCCCTTTAATATTTTGGTAAATTCATTAGCACTGCTTTGGCAAAATTTCAATTTTCGTAAAGCCCTGAAGCAAAGGAAAAACAATAATATGAATTTTTTAAAACAAAATTGCTCCTCTATTTTTCCCCTTAGATGCAAAAGAAACAGAAATGTAGATTTCCATCTAAATACCCCAGGATTTTCATGTTTGCCAGGAAATTTATGTATATTTTTAAACACAAAAATATCAAGAGCCATTTGGCAATCCTAAAGTATGTATTCAAACATACACACACATACACACACAAACAATAAAATCCACTTAATGAACAACCTTTTGAAAAACACACCTGCTCAATTAGAAAGATTTTCAGGGCAGTACATTTCTCTGCATTCATGCAACGGCTGAGCTGCTTAATCAACTTCAATAGTGTTTACTCCAGTATAATCTTCACTTTTGCCCAGTATGGACAGATTCTCACTCTTGTGTAAAATTCCTAACCATGAAGGCTTTTGTACATTCTGTGCAATCACATGGTTTATCAGTACTATTAAATATTTAATCTTAACTTATTTTGAAACTTAAGTTAATATTCTCAGGAATAATAATTTTTCTTAGCTACTCTGAAATGTAATTATCATCTGCAATATTGCATTTCTGCAGTCAATAGTCCTTCCATTTTTAGTTTTTTCTTTATGATCTCTGCAAGTTAAGAGAGCTTTCTAGCACCTGCATACATGCAATCTATTTTTCCCCTCCTGCCAATTTTATTTGAAGAACTAGTTTTGATCATTTCTGAGTTCAATCTTTTGATGATATTATCCTGGTGCAGGCTGGACAAAGCCTATGTTTATTTAGTTTTCTTCCATGGCAACAGAAAAAAATTTGTAAAGTTAAAACTATTAAGATTATAGCTAATTCAGGGAATTAAAACACATATATATAGAGAGAGAAAATAACAAGACCCATAGTCTTTGACTTTTCCTTCATGATAGGACAATATGGTACTTCAACCTATGGCATTAGGGTCCTAAAACCAAACTAGCAGTCAATAAATATCATGAACCACAACCAACCCGAATCTGATTACTCGGTGGTTACAGAGCTGAGACCCAAAGCCTCTAAAAAGAATCCTAAGCTTGTGACATTTACAAAGCTGTTTCTAAAGACAAAACAGGTATGAAAGGTCATGACAGACTAAGGCTTTAGGGGGCAGAAGGGGGGAACTGTTCATCCACAGGAAGATTAAAGGATTCAAAGTTGTAGAGAACAAAGTTGGTAATTTTACTGTACACAAGAGGAGATATTGTTTGTGATATGTATATCTGCCTTGAATCTCAAGCCTGAAAATAAAATGATTACAGAATAATTTATTTCATTTGAATTCATTTTATCAGGCCCTCTTTCCTTCATCAGTCCATCCTATGAATCCCATAATGACAGCACATGGGGAAATATGAGAGTGAGAAATAAAGTAAGTAGATCCCCCTATTTTTGTCTCTATGTTTATTATGATAATTTGGGTAGCATATTACAACCTGAAAACTTCTACTTATAATTCCATATACTTAGACTTCTTTGCAAGCATCCATTTCTCTGTTTTTACCCAATAGTTACCGATTTTTCTTTCCATGTGATCCAAGGGAGGAAGCTGTCTTGGGATGGGATCACCAACCTAGATATGCATATTTTAAACTGGTGCCACCTCCGGGCTTTTATCTATTTGTGCTTAAAAAAAAAAAAAAATCCACTTCCCTATTTTAACTGGTCTGAGTCATGTTTCTAGTTACCAGCTGCAACCAAATGAATCCTAACTGATCTCTCAGTATGAAGCTCTACCAAGAAGGAAATTAAGGTTATAAGAGAATTTAAGCTTTTCTATTTTTGTAACTATAGTAGTATTTTTAAATATGCCATATTCGTAAAACTTTTAAGTTCTTGAAACCATCAAAACTGGACTTGGAACAAAAGTACCAATTTTTAAATTATGAAAAGTCTTCACACCAATTATCATGAGCTTTTAATTAATGTCTCAAGCAGGGAATAACCATCAGCACATTAATTAATTGGCTTTTTCCTTATATTTGAATATTATCAAATTTTAACATTCATTTTAACTGAAGCCACCTGTTTCCATTGTATTACTGACTATCATAAAATTCCGTTTTACTGCGTAATTTTCACACTTCTGCATTTTTCAAAGCAATGTCCGTTTTTCATATTTCCAAACAACTGTATTTGTATTACATATAACACATATGTAAATATTTACCTTATGGAATAAACATAAAACATCATTTAGCCTAATAAAGCATTGGTCATCAAAATATAAACACAATTCTGTTTTAATTCACTTTTTTGAAATAAACATGCATGAAAGAATTATTTGCTGTCCATAGGGAAAAATCACTTAATTTTTCGAGAATTCAGTCATTTTCTACAAAAAAAGAGTAGGATAGACCATAATCCTCTAGTTTCTCTTTCCAACTTCAAGCTCTATGTGCAAGAAATCTAAAATAATCATCTTTCCAAAACTTTGCCATCACAATCAACTCTTCAGGCCAAGGCCAACAATCCAAATACTTGAAATTATAATAATGAAACATTTCTACTGTTACCACTAGTGCCATAATCATCTCCACTTACAATATATATGTATTTTATTAAAAATTAGCAACAACAAATTAAGTCTAAGACTACAGATTTTTTCAGTAAACATTTGCATTTTGTCAACAGAATTTATGAAGAGAAGAGTTGAAAAACTGTTTTAAAAAACAAAGTTATACTGTAAATAATAAAAGCTTAGTTTACTATTGGCCCATATGCAAAAGCTGTAGTAAAGATGATTAAAAAGGAGAAAAAGAAAGTATTTGCATTCATTCTGGTAATAGAATATGAAATTAAAGCATGAAAGGATTAATGTTTTAAAGCTTGACTTGCAGTGATAAAGCTAAGGTATTAGAACCGACAACATAACGGTTACAAGATAGACAAGCAAAGAAAAAGCAGCAAATGCCTTAAAGATGAGCAAGTCAACCTAGAATGGAATTACAAAATGATTAATCAATACAAATGAGAAACTGTACAAGGAAAGAGAGCTTGGTGGGACTTCTTATGGGACTCAACACTGCGGCCGCTTAAAGATAATGAAAGGAGCTGAGCAAAGCCAAAGAAATGCTTTCATTCCGTGGCAAAGTCATTTGTGAACAGTTTAAATTACCCTAATCACCTCCCCTCCAGCCGTCAGTAGGCTCTGACTCTTTAGTTATTTAAAAAAAGGAGTTTGGGGAAATGAGTTCTGCGAATCTAAGCTGCAAAATAATTATACACACACCGTTTTAGCATTTTAACAATGCAATCCCAAACATTTGTTCTCATTAGAATGCAAATCGACTCATTTAATAATCCCACAAGAGAATTCCACCACACTCAGCTTAAAAAGCGCAATGGTATTCAAAATATTATTAATAAATGCCAAGTATGGAAAAGCCAGTTTGCTTTGCCAACAGCTCAGGCTAGATAAAAGAAATATACTTACATTTCCAATCTTTCTTTTTTTTTTCCCTGACCAAATTTAGTTTAATTGAAATTTAACAGTTGAACTGGCCTGGGACAGACTTCAAAAAAGAAAAAAAAAAAAATCAAGGTGACAATCCCCTCTGTCTGGCACATAAACTTTCACGCTCATCACTAAGTCACAGCTTGTCATGCAAACCAAAGACATCCATTTATCCTGAGTACTGTCTAATTTCATTACTCTAAATGGTTGCTAATTGTCTTAACTCGTGGTAGACAGAAGACAGTTTAAGATTAAGCTTGCCATAGGTTGAGAATTTGGAGCCAATCACCAGAACTTGAGAATGTGAGCCTTCTTTTTTAAGAAGAGAGATTTTTTTTTAAAAAATCATACAAATTTGACCCTAAACAATATATTGATTTTTATAGAGCTAGTAATGAAAGAGAAAAAAAACTTGAATTATACATAGTCTGTATTAACATTAAAACATCTAAAAAAGTTATTTTCAAAAACAGTCTTGTAGCCCACTTGTTAAATTAGGAATTAGAGAATGGATATAATTTTTATAAAATTCAATCAATGAGTCACTCATTTTTCATTCAGACTTTTATATACCAGACACTGTCCAATTTTATTGCTGTTATTACCAATCCCCTCACCCTCTCTCTCTGATTTAATTTCTTGGTTATATCCAAACCCTTCCCTTTTATAGAATCTCAAGGAACTATGAAGATGACTAATTACTTTTTCTAACTCATCATACATGCACTAAGGAAAGGATTTAAAATTTACACACAGAGGCAAGTGACTAAAAATGCTCTATCCTTCAGAGTAGTGTCCTTTTAATAACCTTAACCTAAAAGAATGAATAGAATAGATTTTCAGACATAAAGACAGGTCTTTAAATAATATCCATATTGCTCATTCTTTGTGAGGAAGTCAGGCTAGGAGAGTAGATAACTTTACCGAGCCATCAAAACCAGAAAAAAAACACACACACACACATACACACACACACACATAGACACACACACATACACAAAAATACATTATATCTTTCAGGATAAATCCCTGAAGTATTTCCACCTAGTTAGCAATAATCAAACATAAATATGATTCAGTTGCAAATAAGACGGGCTCCTATCCAAGTCTGCTAAAAAACAGACATTCAGATTTTGTCATGCCTACACAAAATGTGGAGCTAATATGGTGTAGATGGTTAGATGGTTTATTTTGTATACAAATTTGTAGATGAGAAAAAGTACTCAAGGCATGTTATGAACTGAATTGTGTTCCCTTAAATTAATATGTTGATGCTCTAACCCCCTAGGTGGCTATGTTTGAATATACAACCTTTGAAGAGGTCAATAAGAATATATGAGGTAATAAAGGTAGGGCTCTAACCCAGTATCACTAGTGTCCTTATAAGAAGAGATAGACCAGAGTAATTCGAGTACAGAGAAAAAGGCCACGTGAGGCTACAGTGAGAAGTTGGCTGTCTGCAAGCCAAGGAGAGAGGACTTGGGAGAAACCAAACCTTCAAACACCTTGATCTTCCAGCCTCCAGAACTGAGAGAAATATTTTTTGGTTTGTGAAGCCACCAAGTCTGGTATTTTGTTATGGCAGTCATTCTGACTGCTATAGAGTGTCATATTTTTCTCAATATTCCTTCCACAGTTTCTGTACGTTCCTCAGGCTATGCACGTAGATTAGCAGAAAGGACAATACTCCAAAGAGAAGACAATAGAGAAAGAATGAAGACTCTTATTAAACATAGGATTTAGAATGGTGTTCAAACTAGCAATTCAGGAATCAAAAGATGTGTAATTGAGATTAGGGGAAAAATCACATATGCTTATCTATTTGTGGTAATGGTCTAAAAATCTCATTCTCCAAAGCAGTTGAATACTAATTCTCAGGTTGAACATAATCTGATGTTTGTTTCTTGGTTTCCTCTGAACAATAAATTTGAAGGGGTAGATTAAGACTAAGCCCAACTAAGGGGAATCCTAAGAATTAAAGGGAACAAAAAAATACATGGTTCTCTTCTTTGACAGTTAATGGCAGAACATTATCATAATGTAACTTAAGACAAGGCAAGAAGAATGTTTTCTTGACCTAATACAAGAGAAATAAGGTGGTCTCAGAAGAAATAGTTGGAATTACCCTTCTCCATGGTAATTGATATTAGTTACTCTCATTGTAAACTTGAATATCAATGAGTATTTATCTACTGATAACAACCCAGCTGTTAAAACACATCAATCTCCCAGACTATTCTCTCAAAGGGCATTTGGATGAAGGAAGAAGAAAGGACCCTAGCCCAGCGTCTCCCTGCACACTGGCAAATGTCAAAACAGAAGTGACAGTAGATAAAGCAGGTGGACCCATGGTGATTTGTTTTAAGGGATGCAGTTTTTTCAAATTCAATTCCCTTCTTGATGTGTATCTGTGTTACATATGCTCTGAAGGCACTGTTGTTTGGGCATGCAGAAAGATAATTTTTGAAAACTTTCAGAAGGGAGGATGAGAGTAGGTCCTAGACAGGGACTGAAAAAACAATGGATGACTGATGGTCACAGCTAGAAAGAAGGAAAGATCAAAGACAAACAGCCCGCTGTGAGTTTTCTTTATCTGCTTGTGATTTCAAAGAAGACACTCTCAGAAGTGGAAGAAACTAAAATGGTTGTTGTTAATTGGGGGAGTACCCTGAACTGCAGTGCCACAAACCAGGAGATGAGAGCAAGAGCATTGATTTCAAAAAGCTAAACTCCACCCAGTGCCTCCGCGAAGTATTCTTACTAAAACATGAACCCACGAAAGTTTCTAGAGCTAATATCCATTAACAAGAAATATAAGGGAAAGGGAATGCAGTAAATACCACAAGGAAGCAGAGAGAAAAAAAAAACCAGAATATGAAACATTGTGGGATAAATGAAATACTGTTAACTTTAATAGATTGGCTAATGGCACTGGGGCAATAAGTTTGATTTAAAAAATTTTTTTTAGAGATATATGCTGAAATATGGGAGATTTGAATGCCACAATATCTGGAATTTATTTTAAAATACTTTAGTAAAACAAGGAAAGATAATAAATAAAGTTACAAAATGTTTAAAATGTTTGATAGATGTTCATCTGGTTTTTAACAAAGTTTTTAATAATAAAATAATGAAGCTTAGCTGACAGAGTAATATATAATGAAGTAGTCCAAAGTTTTGAAAAATCACTAAAAGGCTAAATACTTTCCAGGCCTGCCTGAGTTCTCTATTTCCTGATGGGATGTATTATCAGATCAAAAGAACATGGCAGTGGAGGTAGATTGGATTTAAGAGTAGTAATCACAGAAGCAAACCCTGGCAGTGTCCATCCAATCATTATCAAGAGGGCAGGGCACCTTCAACTTGTCCCAGTGACAAGAGGTGTGTCTATTCTGAGATAAATACAGGACACAGATATCAAACTGGTTAACCACAGGGCACTGCTGACGTATTTTTTGGTTCTCACAGTGCCTTTTAAAATATTTTAATTCATTGACAATATTCTTTTTAAATAGGAGATTTCACATAAACATTCTATTTTTTTTTCCTTTTCCTGAAAAATCAGGATGATATGGTTTTATTTTCTAGTCTGGTCATCAGTGCGACTGAGGAGCAATAGCCCCATTCCACACGGCATGCACTCTCCAGTCTCCATGAATGCCTGACAATTTATTACAGTATTACTTCACTGTGAAGCATTATCCACCAGTCTACTATAGGCAATTAATTTTGTAACTCTTGACACGTTGTGGTCAGTACTATTCCTGCAAGACCATTCGTTACATATGGGATGAAATAACTGCCCAAGCTTTCTTCATCTGATGTTATTTAACATTTAGCTCATCGTATTCCATTTTTTTGATTCCATGCCAACAAGCAATCTGGGGGCTTTCAAGGAGAGTTACCTACTTGGCGAGAATGTGTGGTGTATGGATAGTCCTGGATTGGAATCTCAGTGCTTTTACTCTTCCAACCTTAAGCCCTTCATTTCTGAGTTTACTAATATGGGGTTAGTACATGTACCAGCTCATAAAGCTGTTTTGAGTATTAAATGAGGTAGTGAATGTAAAGCATCTGGCACAAGAATTGGCATATATTAAAAATGGCAGCTGTTATATTAGAAGTAGAGTTAGTAATGGTGGCAGTATTTCATAGGATTTGAGTATTTTTTGGTCTATGCAAGTGAGGTGTTAGGGCAAATCAATAAATTGTTTTTCAGGCATGATTCATCTTTCTATATTGCTTGATCAGAAAAATATAGATTGATCAGGTAAAAATGGCATGTGTCAGTTATCAACTTATTGTCTCTTAGCTCCAAATCTACTCTTCTTTGTTCACTTTTGTGCAACTGATGCCGGACCTTGTAAACATATCTTCTCTATCAGTTGTCACAATGTTAGACCAGTAAGAGTATTTATTGGATGGACACTACAGAATGAAGGGGCTTCCCTTCCTGGTCTGGTACTCGCTTTCTTACACCTGAGGTGCTGTGCCCTTGCCAGTGCATGGAGGAGTGCAGGAGACTCGAGGTTTACAGCTAAGTTTTTCTAGCATCCTGCTTGGAAGCTTCCCAGTGAGTTTTGCCAATTGCCCAGAAGAATGAGTCCTGGTGAGTTTCACCAGCAGCATGGTGATAAGCTTCATTAATGTTCCCAGTAGGCCAAAAGTACCTCAGGTACACTAGTGTGGAATTTCTTACTGCCATTCCTAGCCTAAACAACTCAATAAACATTTCCACCATCTAGAGGGCCAGCCACAGTCATACCCTTTGCAATGAACTCTGAATCTCAGCTTTGAGAAGCACAGTGTCCTTTTCCAACTTGGTTCCTTTAGATGCTCTACCTCAACACTGGAGGTAATAGTTCTTCTTTACATCTACTATTCCTGCATTCTGTAGACTGTGGCCCTCTTAGAATATAATCCCTATTACTAGTTAATAACTTTTCTACTAAATCCCCCTTTCATATTACTGACACAGCTGTTGTCAACTTGCTGGACTCAGACACAGAATACTTATTATTTACAGAATTTTGTTGCATATATCTGCTATTCTGATCTACCTAGCATCCCTAGTTCAATTATTCTGATAATATTTCCTTTATGACCTAGGTTAACTGACTTCTCTTCATTATATGTGGTCCTGGAGCAGCTACCAATCACTACTCAAGTGCCCAACTCCCATTCCACCTTCTCTTCCCAAGTCTGTCTCTCCTTCATGTGGTTAACATGTGACACAAGCTCTATCAATTATATGACTTCACCTATCTGGCCAAATTTATTAATTCTGAGATGGTCATATGACTCAATCCAGGACAATTACAATCCGCCTATAGGATCTTTGCGTAAGGAAAGAGAGAGAAGTTTTCTCTCTCTTCCTGGATTATCAAATCTAAAAATGTGAAACTCCCTTCTGTTACCTCTCATCTCTCTAGAGGTAAAATCTTTTTTTCCTTTTTTTTTTTTTTGAGACGGAGTCTTGCTCTGTCGCCCAGGCTGGAGTGCAGTGGCCCGATCTTGGCTCAATGCAACCTCCGGCGTCCCAAGTTCAAGTGATTCTCTGCTCCAGCCTCCCGAGTAGCTGGTATTACAGGCGCCCACCACTATGCCCAGCTAATTTTTGTATTTTTTTTTTTTTTTTCAGTAGAGATGGGGTTTCACCATGTTGGCCAGGCTGGTGGCGAACTCCTGACCTCAGATGATTCACCCGCCTCAACCTCCCAAAGTGCTGGGATTACAGGCATAAGCCACTGTGCCTGGCCTCTGGAAGTAAAATCTGATTAAAACAGAAAATCCAAACCCAAAATAACGCATGAGTAAGATGAACTGCACTAGGAGATGGGAGGGAAAAAGGGAAAGGGGAGAGACGACTGACTTTAGGTCAATAGTATCATTTAAGTTTACCCGTTTCCTGAAACTTCACTGGCCTTGAAACTTACAGTTGCACTAAACAAAATGTTTTATTTTGTATGTTATTTGAGTTGTTGCAATTGAAGAATCTGAACAAATTCCACTATTATTAATAAATTGAACTTACATTCTATCTCAATATCATGCTTACTACAGTATTCTTGAACTCCTATCTCATGACTGGTCACCCAATGATACTGAGAAAAAATAAATTGCTTGGTTTTCAATACAGAGAACTATATCCAAATGGTCTTTACATACCTAAGCACTATATATTCCCAGGTGTTTTAAAAATTTTATTTATCTACATGTATTATGTAATATGAGAATATTCTCAAGGGCATTTTTGAAAAATGAGTGCCCACTTTGTGATATAGCCCTTCTAGGAGAAGAGAACCCTGGATATCAAATAATAAATAAATAAAGGTTTAGTTCTAAATACTGTTTTTTGAATTAATGTAATTGCTTCTCTCCAATCATTGTATCACTTCCAATTATTTATTCTTATCTATAAGTTTGTGTTATATACAAAAGGTCTAAGTCGCCTTTTACATAAACAAACTTCAAAAATCATAAATCAACTTTGGGGCATAAATGTCAAGAAAATTTCATAGTACTCTTTCAATTAAAAATTTGGCAATTAAATAAATCACTGAATATCACCCAGGTTTACTCAAAAGACATCTACTTTATGGCTACCCAGACTCACAATTTTTTTTTCCAATTCAAGAAATTTCTACATTATTTTATTGAAATATGAAATGAAATGCACAAATATCAAATGTGAGCCTGAACAGCTTTGACAAGTCTACACAATTTTGTCCTATGCCCAATAAAGATAGCCAACATTCCTATTATTCTAGACGGTTACTTTGTGCCTTTTACAAACAAGGTTTTGACACTCAGAGAACACTATTCTTCTTATTGTCAACATAGAGATCAGTCTTCCTATTCTTCAATTTCCTGTAATGGAATCATACTATAATATGTAGAATCTGACTTTGTTTACTCAGCATAATTTTTTGTGTGATCCATCCATGTTGTTGTATTTATAATTTATTGCTAAGTAATACTCCACTGTATGCATGTATCACATTTTTCTTATCCATTCTTCTGTTTACTAACATTTGCTTTACTGCAGATTTGGCTATTAGGAGTAAAAATGCCTGGAACGTTTTTGTATAAGCATTTTTGTGAATATTTATTTTCATTAATCATGGATATGTTCCTAGGTATAAAAATTGCTGAGTCACAGTAGAGGTCTACGTTTTACTACATAAGAAACCCAGAAAATATTTTCCAAAGAAGTTATTTCTGTTATGCACATACCAGTATTGAATGAGAATCCCCACTGTTTCATATTCATAGAAACATTTGGCACTATCAGTCTCTATAATTTTACGTACTCTGTTGCATATGTAGCAGTGTCTCATTGTGATTTTAATTTGCATTTCACTGATGAGTAAGGCTATTGAGAATTCCTGTTATTTGTGCATTTCCTCTTGCGTGAAGTGTCCCTTCAAAATTATTTTCAGGTTTATCGGGTTGTTTTCCTTTTTATTATTCAGTTGTGAACTTTATTATATATGATGGACACATTTTATCAATACACGTGCTGTCAATTTTTTTTAGCAGCATGCAGCTTGCTTTTTCATTGTCTTACTGGTGTTTATGAGCAAATTATTTTAATTTTGATTAAAAAATATTTTTGGGTATTTTTTGTGGTTAGTGCTTTTTGTGTTCAGTGTAAGAAATATTTGCTCATCCCACAGCCTGAAAAACAGTCACCAACATTTTCTCCTAGAAACTTTTATGTTCAGACCTATGCTACATCTCAAATTAACCCTTGTTTATTGAGTGAATTAGTATCTAGTTTCACATGATTTATTGAGAATGCTGCCGTTTCCCTATTAAATTGTGTTAGTATCTTTGTCAAAAAAAACACAATTATTTAATTACACGTTTATTTCTGGACTTTACATTCTGTTTCACTGCAGAAAGAAGACAGACAACATTTTGTTTCTTGAGAAAGGGCCTGTGCCTTTATCAACTCTTTGTTTTAGCTAATGAGACCGGGAAAGGCAAAAACCACAATAGTTTTAGGTGCATGAAAGCAGACAGAAATTGTGCTATACTTTGTGGTTATAAAAAACAGCAGAAAGATTTACAGTGGTGACCAGTAGCGGCTTGGTATGGCAACAGTAGAAATGGACGGTATTAAAGCATGTCCAGACAAAGCTTCCAAGAGGATTCCTGTGCCTCCAGCAGGGTATACTTGGGCATTCAGAAGTTCCCCGGCTTCCCTAAGAGGAGCTTGGCAGCCGCTGAGGAAGAGCCTGTAGTCCTGGAGAGGCTCCACGATCAGTAACTGGAGACGGAAACGCCATCGCATTAGACAGGGATGCAGATAGAGCGGAGGAATCAGAGCAGACTATGACCACCAAGGAACCAGCACCTCTTTCCCAGACACCATGGTAGTAGATCATACTTGCGGATCTGAGACTCCACTGAATTGAAAGGAAGAGGGAGGGCTTCCATCTTGGCTGAGAAGACTGAATTGGCTGGATTTCTCCAGAATTCAAAAAGATGATACTTTTTCTCTTTGGAGGATCTTGTAATAGAGATTAACTTGAGATAATGTAATAAGTGGGTACTCTTTTAACCTAATTTATTGAGAAATTTATGTTAGCTATAATTGAAAATCATTTCCTAACCCCTGCATCTTTTATATAAAAAATAGCTATGGCCGGGCGCAGTGGCTCACGCCTGTAATCCCAGCACTTTGGGAGGCCAAGGCGGGCAGATCACACGGTCAAGAGATGGAGACCATCCTGGCCAACATGGTGAAACCCCGTCTCTACCAAAAATACAAAAATTAGCCGGGCGTGGTGGCAGGCGCCTGTAGTCCCAGCTACTCAGGAGGCTGAGGCAAGAGAATGGCCTGAACCCGGGAGGCGGAGCTTGCAGTAAGCCGAGATCGCGCCACTGCACTCCAGCCTGGGCGACAGAGTGAGACTCCGTCTCAAAAAAACAAAAAACAAACAAACAAACAAAAAACACTATACAGTATATGAGAAAAAAATCAATGTGGAGTCTGAAAGCTTTAATACAGTCTCAGTCTTGTTACTTTATAGCTATGTATTCATAGAATGGTATCTTTAACTTCATTTTTCTTTTTAGTATCAGAAGTATTCGTTGAACACCTGAAATGTGCCAAGCACTCTGATAAGTTGTTCACATGCATAATCTAATTTAATTTTTACAGCAGCTCAGGGAGATAGGTACTATATTATTTTCATTTTGCAGAAGAGGGAAGCATGTTGGTGCTTTCATCTCTACAATGAAATGGTAGTCATACTTCTGTCTCAGAAGATTTTGTGTATCACATCAGGCGATACATATGAACATGCTCCACACGTCGAAGAACTGAACTTTTGCTATTGTTACAAATATTCACACTCTTAGAGAGATCTCCAAATTAATTCCTATTTATCTCCTCTACAATGCCTCATAGCAGCAATTCTCATCAGTTTGCTATTCTTTATGCAAAACGCTTGCCCCACTGCTACATCCATACCTTTAAAGTTTTTTCTTGGCCCAAGATGTAGTGAATCTAAGTCTCATATGCACTTGAGTAGCTTCCTTTTTTTAAAAAGGTAGCTAAAATCCATACATTTCAGGAAGTTTATCCAAAGACTTAGTCAGTTCCATTCTTGTAATTCCTGCTCTCTCTCAGCCCCACTGTAATTAGAGTATGTTTCCACTTTTTACTCTACACATGGGAGTCTTGGTTTTGAGTGAATACTCTCTTTTTTCATATTTATACATTATAAATTCTTTTAAATCAGGAGTCTTCTATTAGGTTTTAGAACCATTACTCCATCTTGGCAAGGAATACCCTAAGAATCGGCTCTCCATACCAATGTAAAAAGTCACAGCAGGAATCTGTTAGATGGTAGATTTCATTCTACTCAAGGATAAAGGAAAGAGCACAGGGAAATTTTCAGTTTATTGTAATTCACTCAGTATTGCACATTTCTTTTTGTGAAGTCATGAAGGTTTCACTTCTGCAATATAAAGTTAGAACATTTCCCACATGGCAAGTCTATAGGAAAGGAAATTCATCATTTTTTTTTTCAGATTCCAAAAACATAATGGGTAGAATTTTCCTCGTTAGAAAACATCAGTGTTGTTTCATAGAATTGAACTTATTTGGGCTACATTATTACATGCATTTCTTTTCTTTATATGCCTTTAAAAACTAAACAAGATTTATGGCTGCATTTCTTTAATCATCAAAATAGAAGGGAGATATTTTTAACAGAGTCCAAATACCCATATTTTATGACTTAGGACTTCAGATATAAATATCAGTAATGTTCTGATAATGTAAATTTATGTGCATGCATGTATTGTATACGGACAGTTTTCCTTCCAATTCTAAGCCACTTGTTGCTATAGTTTCTAAGCACTCAGTAATGATAATTATTTTTTAATTAGCTCAATGTCACAGTCTGCTTACTTAAAAAGCATTCGTGTAATATTGAAAACTAAAATTGTATCTTTAATAAACTTCTTGAAGTCAAGAGTTATTTCCTCAAATTCTTTGTAGCTCAGACTTAAAGGGTAATATTCGATAAGATTTATTGATTGGTAACTTAAAGATTCGGTAAGATGTTAATCATCTACTAGCTAATAGGTAAAGCAAGCATATATAAAATGTTTGTTCTAATTTATGAAAAATATGAGAGTATTATAGCAGTATTTACTTTAATTTCAGATTTTTTTTTTAGTATGAGTGATTTGTGGAGCCTATTTTTGTTCTTGCTTTTTGTGCTACACAAGCAAACAGATATGACAGAGTGGGCAATTATTATTGGAGGGAGTGCTATTACATACATTTTATTTTACTCATGCTTTCAATCATAATAGACAAGCAATTATTACACAACTGTATCCTGAAACCATCATAATAGCTAGTTATTTATAAAAACAAGAAAGAACTCACACATATGCCATTTCCAAATTAAAATGCTGAGACATTTTTATTCTGACTTAACATTTGTATTTCTAAGTAATTACAAACCTGCTCCTTGTAGAATAGATTTCTTAAACTACCCTACAGATGAGTATGTTCATTATTGTCATGTTTCCTTTCCAAAATATTTCTAAAAGTCATGGTTTATTTATTATTTATGGACTATTCAGTACGAATCAAACTCAGTTATATTTTGTATTGTAAAACAGTTAACTTGATGAGTATAGAAAACAAATCCAGTGGATTCAAACCTCAAATCTACTTTTAAAAAACAAGAATATTTTATTGCTGTGTACTTGGCCCCCATATATCTGAGTGTAAGGAACTCAATTGAACTTTATGCTGCATAAGCACAAATTTAGGTGGAATCTGTCTAGAATATAATAGACTGTGCACTAGTAAATACCTTATTCGTTTGTACCAAATGATGTCACAAAAGTATGAGCTGCTTACATGGGCTTATGAGTGACTAGTACACCAGATGCTTTAATCCTGCATAGCTTGGCTAACTTCGTTGTTCTCTTTTTATCAAGATTACAATAAAAATAATTTTACCCATTCTCATGGGTAGCTAACATATTAATTTAAAACTCTTCCATATTTTATTTCCTGTGGACATTACTGTTCATTATCTTTACCAACTATTATGCAAGGGCACATTAGAATACCACTTAAATATAAAAATAGTAAACACATTGAGAGGAAGAGCTACGTTCTTTCTTCCATTTAAATTTCACTCCATGGGTACATAAATATTTATTGAGAAGTGTTAATATTTGGCAAGTTTCAATATCAGGCATATTAAAGTAATTCTGCCTACGTCATTTGAGATTTTTGGTGTCAATATAAAGATACACATTTTCTTGATCTTATCTTTATTCTCACTTTTGCATTTTGGCCATTCTTTCTAAGGAACATTCTGTACCCTTTTGCATCGCTAGCCTTTGTATGCACTGCTCCCTCCGTGAAATGCTCTTCCCTCATCTTCAAAAAGCTGGCTCCTGCACATCACTGAAATCTTCATGCACATGCCATCCATGCACACAGACTTCCCTGACCAGATCACTTTTGCAAAATTAGCACCAACATCCTTCGCTTTCTGTCCCATTAGCTTAATGTGTGTGGTGTGTGTGTGTGTGTGTGTGTGTGTGTGTGTGATTATCCCTTTATACAACTGGGTTATTTATATATTTGTTTATGAGCTTATCTGTCACCCATACCAGAAGTTAGAACGACAACAACATAAATAGCAACTAACATTTATTGAGCAAGCGAGGAACTATTCCAAGTATTTTAAAGGTATTAATACTTTAACTTTTCATAATAATCTTACAAACTCACTACTACTATAATCTGCATTTTATAGATGAAGTAAGTGAATGATACAGGGGGCTTCCCGGCCCAACCACCCTCCGAGTCACACAATGCTCTCTCCAAAGCTGCCTCTTCTATGTTCTATCTCTTCCCTCGTCATTCTGTTCTGCTTTAATCTTGGTTCACTGCTAATACTAACAATGAGAGCCCCTATCTTCATAAAAGTAAAACAAGTATTTCAACAAGGTAATAAAATGCATTTTGGAACATAATATTTTGGCATACATTTATTTATTTATTTATTTGATGCGGAGTCTTGCTCTGTCGTCAGTGGTTTGGAGTGCAGTGGCGCAATCTTGGCTCACTGTAAGCTCCGCCTCCCGGGTTCACGCCATTCTCCTGCCTCAGCCTCCCCAGTAGCTGGGACTACAGGCACCTGCCACCACGCCTGGCTAATTTTTTGTATTTTTAGTAGAGTCGGGGTTTCACCGTGTTAGCCAGGATGGTCTCGATTTCCTGACCTCCTAATCCTACCCGCCTCGGCCTCCCAAAGCACTAGGATTACAGGCGTAAGCCACCGTGCCCGGCTGGCATACGTATTTTTTCTAATGAGTAATACTTATGGAATGTTACCTGAAAATATAGTCTATTTTGTTATTTTAAAAAGTTGTATTTTTTTTTTTTTTTTTTTGGAGACAGTGCCTGAGTATGTTGTCCAGGCTAGAAGCATACTCCTGTGCTCAAGCAATCCTCCCACTTCTGTCTCCAGAGTAGTTGACACTACAGGAGTGCACCACCAAGTCCAATCATTTTGTACTTTTAAACAGTCCTCAGAGTAAACCAGAATGCTGAGTGCTTTGTCCTCCACATTATGGTGGTTCTAACATTTTGTTGGCCCCTTCCGTCAAAATCCCCACATAATTACTTTTACTGAATCATGTTCACTGACAGAGGTAATTAAAAGAGAATTTTAGAAGTCAGAGAGAACAGAGTTGTCATATTGACGTTTCCACTGCCTCTTTACATTCCAATCTGACTTTTGTCCTACACAATGACTGAGGTGGCCCGGTCAAAGTCACGGGCTATCTCCGTCTCCATGTTTCATACTAAATGGTGATTTTTCCATTCTTCCTCCTCTCTCAGCTTCTCAGTTAGCTTTCCACCTAACTCACAAGCGCCGTCATCTCCATCTCTTCTGGTTAAGTTCCTCTATCTCAGTTACAAATGTGAAATTATTCAGAGAAATGTACAGCTATTCAGATAAAGCTGTAGTAAATTAGTAAACCAAATATGTAATATAAAGTCTTACCTTGTGGCCAGAGATGGGCTACATAATTTGTCTACACATGTCAGAGAAACCAACTCAGGATGACCAATACTTTGCAGTCATTTAATAATTGCTTGTTTCTGTTACAACTATCACTTTCTTACCACTCTCTTTCATCATATTGTCCAAACTACTTAAAACATAATAATTTCTAAAACTACTCCTGTTTTTTCCATTCAAACATTAGAACCTTTTCCTGAAACACAAGACAACTATCATTGAGGGCTTACAAAATTGTCCACACTACAAAGGTATAAATACAGTGGCCTTATTTTCAAATTCTGGAAAGCAAGACACTGAATAACTCAATATAAGTATATGCTTGTATAAGTATTCCGTACTGATAAGTATAGTGCTCTTATACAAGTACAGTCAGCCCTCTGTAGCCATGACTTTTGCATCCATGGATTAAAAATATTTTTTAAAAAATAAAAAATAGCAATACAACAGTAAAAAAGATAACACAAAAATACTAATACTATAGCAACTATTTACATAGCATTTAAATTGATTCAGGTATTATAAGTAATCTAGAGATAATATCAAATATACAGGAGGATGTGTGCACAGGTTATGTGCAAATAATAGGCTATTTTATACATAGGACTGGAACACCTGTGGATTTTGGATCTGCAGAGGTCCTGAAACCAATCCCCCTCAGATACTGAGGAACCACTGTATTACTTACATAAGTATAAATGTGCTGAATCAATATAAGTTATATACAGTGTTAAGTACATGTCCAAACTATCACAATGTACATTATTTTGAAAGACAATACTGGTGGGGGTAAGGGAAAATAAAATATATGTTCTGATCAAGTAATATTGGTGCATATTGTTATTTCTCTGTTAGAATCACAATATGCATTGGCATATTAAAAGCTCTGAGAATTAGTACTAAAAAGAAACTAGTTAATTTAATGTACATTACAAAAAATTGCTTTAAATATGATACTTTATCTCCATATCTATTTTTGAGGTAGTTGTATTTACATCCCTTGGGATATTATTTTATGATATGCTAACTTGAAAAGTGTTATTGCAAATTCATCTGAATAAATAAGGGCAGAAGAATTATTTATATCAATCAGATTTTATTATTTTATTATTATTACTATTATCATCATCATTATCATCATCTGGATCAGTGGTTATTACTTAAATTGAAGGAGGAAGGAAAATGTCATAATTATTTTCTCAAAATATCTCTCATTAAGCCCATCCAAAATTTTTTGAATCAAAAGCAGAAGGGGAAAAGCCCAGGGATGTAAGTCATTTGGAAAAGCTCTGCCGGTCGTTCTGTTACTAATGTATCTCTCCCTCCTCCAGTTTCATCTTTCTCCTTCAACCACTGATCTGTATCATTACTCTGATTTTTCACTTTGTTTTGTTAAAAAAAAAAGCGTATTAATCTCTCAACACTACATGTGAAACACAGAATCACAAAATCTAGAGTTATCCATTAGCTTAAAATGTACAAAGTAAGCTTGTTTCCAGTTTTAGATAGTTCAGTAGACCTACAGAAATACTGGTGCACTTATTGTCAAGAATTCTGAGTGTTTTTTGAACTTAAGGTATCTACTGAATATTTTTTTCCCCTCACAAATACAGACTCATTTCCTATAAGCCACCTAAGCCCTGTCACAGGAGTGTCTCAAGTATTTTACTGCTGGACAAAGACTTATCTCATGTTTCTTACATTTGGGTTCAGAGAATTGTACTGTATAATTTCCCATGTTGAGTTAAAAATTATTCAGTGGCATTTCAGCTTAGTGTTGTGGCTTAATAAGTACCAAGTGAATGTTGTCATTAGAAAAATATCAATCATTTTATTTACACAATGATCTTTACATCCTTCTAACCAATCTTCCAATCTGATGGACCAAACAGACAATATTCAGGTAGTCTTCAACTGACCAGTGAATTTTTTTTCACATTATAGGCAGGCATAATCTATTTAAAGCTAACTGGATCTGGCACGGGTCATTATGGATGACAGTTTGTTTTAACCACCCTGGCCAAGCTTGTTGTAAGACATTCAAAACTTCAAGTTCCAGTTGGCTTTTGCTATACACATGTGTATCCAACGTTTGCTCATCTGGCTTCAGTAACAGTCTCACTTTAATTTGTGAAGGATTTGTCCACTTTATCAAGTGATATTTATTCATTTTATTTGACTTCTGAATTGGCAAGATCTTTCTAGCCCCATCACATGGAAATGGAATCCAAACTAACAAGGCTGATCAAATCTCAGATGCAGGCCACAATAAATAACAACCATCCATTCATCCATTAAAAATTCATTGCATATACAGTCCTTTGCTTATACATTGCACCCAGTGGGTAGGAGAGCAGAGAGGAAGAAATTTCACATATGTTATAAAGGAGACATGGTTACTCCCCTTGAAGGTGTTAAGTCTAGCTAATCTCCCCTTTATATATAAGTTGAGTGATATCATGTCTGTCTACAGACTATAAACATAAATTACTTTCCTGCTTTCCTTTAAAAACAAAGGGAACCATCTCTATGTTTATATATAAGAGAAGAACAATGAATCTGGCTAAATACACTGCTTACCAGAAATAAGATAACTTTTCATGAAAGAGAATTGCTGGTACAATGCCAAAATATAACCGCTTCTGTGTAACTAGAGTAGGCCTATGCAAGGAAGGAGTATGCCTACTTTTTACATAGATTCAAAACCCATCATCCTGTGATTAAGTCTACTACTGAATTATCCACCTGTTACTTGGAAGCAATTATCTTTGTTAGTACTTCATACGGTTTAAATAGTATTTACTAACTAGAAAGATTTTGACACAGTAAAATCTTGTTTTAAACTTGTTAGGAGGAAGACAATTGCCATCATGCCTTCAGACTAGATACAAATATCATCAGCTTTCCACCTCTAACCAGGAAACCTTAATTCGAGCGCAAATATTTTAAAATTGTCACATGAACAGATAATTCTATAAAACAAACAGATCTTTCAGGATATCAGAGATGAGTTTGTTTATATTTCTACAGTCTTTTTCTTTCTGGAGAGGAGAGTCAAAACTACCAGTAGATTTTCTGAGAAGATCTGCATGCAGTCAGCATCATGTATCTTCAAAGTCTGTAGTCTGCTTGGGGCAGAGGTGAATTATCTGGTTTATGGGGGCTCAGATAGAGGTCACTGCTTGGATTGCAATTCTGACTTGCCTGTAGTTTATTTTGTATAAATGTGGAAATAGCAACTTCTGAATCCCTGTAGTGAAACAAACCTTATCCTCTGTTTGAAGCTGGATTCACCCTGAGTTTCCATGAGGAGCTCTTATAAACAGAATTCTCTTTTTGGCAGATATAAGTATGGAGAGCTTTATCTTGTGACTCTCCTTTGCGAATCATTCATTATAGGCTCCGGAACACGGCTCTTAATATGTCAAAGAACTGGGGTACAGGATGGACATGCTTGTTTCTAAAATGTGCAAATTGAAACACAAATCAGTTGTTTCTCATGAAATAATGCTTTGGATAACAGTGTTTAACAATCCACAGTTTCAATGGTTGATAAAAGGATTTATACTTACATATTTCTAGAACAAGGAGGAAATTATTTTAATGATAATGCTATTAATGCAGCAGCAAATCAGAACCAAGGAAACACTGTTGGATCATTTCCTTGAGAATAAAATTTTGTGTTAAGTTTATTGTTTACAGAAGTGAGGGGGGGAAATCTAGTTAACAGTTTAATGTCCTTGCCAATTTCAAAATATCCAGCATAGCAAAGAACTAGCCAAATTCCAAATAACCCTGGAAAGGTCACTGTCTTGAGGCAAGATGAGCACATACCATACAGCTGGATATTTTTATGTCACGGAAGAGCATGTTTCAGAACAGAATTCTCTAGGTCTCAAAGTTGGCAATTCATGAAGGTAAAGTAAATTGCCAAAAACACTCTCTCAAACAGGAGGTGTTTAATGAAACAAGGCTGGATATCTCAGATACTCAGAGGATCTTTGCCTTACCTACAAGTAATTCCAAATATATCAAATAGATCATTCACTGGCCACAGGAGGGAGGGAGGAAAACATAACTGTTTTACTTCTTAACTTAAATGGGGACATTGAGTCACTGATTATTTACTCTGTCTTCAGAATCATCATTTTATCCTGCTGGTATTATGTGAGTAGTTTGCAATAATGGAAAATCCATTTGGCTTTATTACAGGAGAAGGTATTCAAAGGCAGTAAAACTTATTGTCAAACTGGGGTTGGCTCTGCGGAAAATGATTTCAAATTGTGCTTTATTTTGTTAAGAAGTTTATCTTTTTATGTAGCTATTATACAGAGGATAATTATGGAAGTAATAAGCTAATCATCATCAGACTTAATTGAGCAAATGTGAACTATTGGTAGATTTTAAGTAATGAAAAGCCAGGTTAGATGATAAAAATCAAAATACCAAGACATCTCAGCAGCATTTTAACCATGTGCAAAAAGATTTTTTTAAAAAATTGGGGTGATTTTATCTGTATAACAAAAAAAAAGCTTTCAGATGAAATAACTTAAGATTCAGATGAAAGATTAGAACTTTCCTCACCTGCTCCCTTCAAACATAGGATAACTTTTTCCCAGATTTTTCTCTCATTTGAGGTGGACAAAAAGGAGACATTGCTACGAAGAATTAAAAGGCATGAGCTCCAGCCTCTGGCTTTCTTGAGATGACCAAGGATAGCATGCAACATTAACTCACGTATTTATTCATTTATTGAGCACATGATTCCAGAATATCTACCATTTTCCAGGGATTGTTTTGGATATCAAGGATACAGTAGAAAATTAGACAAAGCCCCTGCTCTAAATGGCATATCTATTTTTGAGAAGAAACACAAAGGAGAAACACATAGATATTTTCACGCAGTGCAAATAAAATAAACTAGGTAGGTAATAGAGGAAAAAAGAGAAATAGGTGGGCAGGGGGTGGCAGTGAATATTCCAGAATCAGTGGTATGCTGGAGCCAGTATGTACTGGCTCGAGAGAGCTGATTATAAAATATTCAGAAATTTCATAAGTAAGTTTTTTAAGCCACTGGGTACTTGAAATTGTGGTGGTAGTTATATACCACAGAAACTGACAAAAGCTATAAATCAGAGCTTCCTCTTTTTCTCAGAAAGACAGTTCACTAGCACACCTTTGGAAATGGTTGTTAAGGAAAGTTATTTCTGAAGAGAGACTTGAATGTACTAAAGAAGTCAGCCATGCAAGGATGACATGGAAGGGCATTCCAGTCTGCGTGGAACTGCATGTGCAGAGGTCCCAAGATAAAAATGAACTTAAAAGGTAGGTGTAGTGTAACGAGTAAGGTAAGAACTATCCAGAGAGCCAGGAAAGGCTGTATAATATAGGTTCTTGTAAGTCATAACAAGAATTTTAGATTGTATTCTAATTATAATAGGGAGTTATTGGGCAGATCTTGTATAGGAAAGAAAGGTGATTTGTTAAAATTATTGTTAAGGATTAATTCTAGATGCTCTATGGAACACAGCTGTTAGAGATTAAAAGTAGGGAGATGTGTTTGGATATTATCGCAGTATTCCCTGAAAGAGATGACAGTGCGTTGAACTAGCATTATGGATACAGATAGGGTAAGAAATGGTAAGATCTGGCATGGCCTATTTTAAAGAAACATCTCTAGAGCATACAGATAGTATGCAGGTGAAAGTAATGAATCATAACCTACATTTTTTCAACTGAGCAAATGGTGTTACCATTTTCTAAAAAGAAAAATCTGGGAGAACATAGACTTGACAAACTGTGGGCTGAGAATTCACATTCTGTTTTGTATACAGAATATCATATTAGGTTGAAAGTGGTATTAAGACCATGTATAAAACCCCAGTAGAAGTGTCCCTCTATTGTTTCCAATTTGGGTACACTATTTTATAAAAATTGTCTCATATATATATATATATATATATATATATATATTTTATATATATAATTTTAAATAAACTTAAATATATATTAAATTTAAATATTTATTAAAATTATATATAATCCATATATAATCTCTACATATATAATCTATATATAATCCATATATATAATCCATATATAATCTCTACATATATAATCTATATATAATCCATATATATAATCCATATATATAATCTATATTATATACAATCCATATATATATACAATCCATATATATATACAATCCATATATATATAAATCCATATATATAATACATATATATATAAAATCCATATATATATATATATTTTTTTCTTTTTGAGACAGAGTCTCGCTCCATCACCCAGGCAGGAATACAGTGGCACAATCTCAGCTCACTGCAACATCCACCTCCTGGGTTCAAGCGATTCTCCTGCCTCAGCCTCCTGAGTAGCTGGGATTATAGGCACGTGCCACCAAGCCCAACTAATTTTTGTATTTTTAGTAGAGATGGGGTTTCATCATGTTGGTCAGGTTGGTCTCAAACTCCTGACCTTGTGATCCACCTACTTCAGCCTCCCAAAATGCTGAGATTACAGGCGTGAGCCACCATGCCCAGCCAAAGGATTATATTTTTAAGAAAACATTTTTGTCAACACAGAATCTGGTTCTGCCTCTGGTCAACATTTACCCTGAAGCAATCTGAAGAGGTGGCTAGGAAGTTATTGAATTCAATACTACCGAGAGTTATTTCCTCCCATAATCACTAGACAATACTTCTGAATTTTTTTCCTTTTAATTTTCCAGTTATAGAATCTTGCAAAATTATGCTGGATATATTAAATGTTCTTTTGGAGCCTTCACTGAATTACAGGAAAAGATCCCAAAATAATTTTTAAGTACTTAAGACAAAGAAATTCTATTAAAAACTTCCCTGATATAGATATACTTGATTAAAATTATCAAAGAGTTAAGAGCTAATTAAATATTTTAACTATTGATATTATTTGGATGTTTTCCAGCTCCAAATCTCATGTTGAAATGTAATCCTCAAAGTTGGAGGAGGGGCCTGCGGAAAGGTGATTGGATCATGGGGGCATGTCTCTCACGAATGGCTTAGCGCCAACCCCTGTTAAGGAGTGAGTTCTCTCTCTGAGTTCATGTGAGACCTGGTTGTTTAAGAGTGGGGCAGCTCCTCTCTGTTGCTCCCGCTCTCACCATGTGTTACACCAGCTTCTCCTCTGGCTTTCTGCCATGATTGAAAGCTTCCTGAGGCCTCACAAGAAGCTGAGCAGATGCCAGCACCGTGCTTCCTGTATAGCCTACAGAACCATGATCCAACTAAACCTCTTTTCTTTATAAATTACCCAGTCTCCAGTATCCCTTTATAGCAACACAAAAACAGACTAACACAACTATGTTCACAGGCCAAGACTCACTATGTGAAAAACACAATGGGAGACCCTCTTTAATAGCAGGTAAGAGATAAAATGCATAATTCTCAAAAAGGTAATCTTTTTGTATAAAATATGAAGATTTGTTTAACTGGATACCTTATTAGTCTGTTTTCATGCTGCTGATAAAGACATACCTGAGACTGGGTAATCTATAAAGAAAAAGAGGTTTCATGGACTCACAGTTTCTTGTGGCTGGGGAGGCCTCACAGTCATGGCAGAAGGCGACTCATGTCTTACATGGTGGCAGGGTAGACAGAATGAGAAGCAAGCAAAAGAGGTTTCCCCTTATAAAACCATTAGTTTTCATGAAACTTATTCACTATGTCAAGAACAGTATGGGGGAAACCATCCTCATGATTCATTTATCTCCCACTGGGTCCCTCCCACAACACATGGGAATTATGGGAGCTACAATTCAAGATGAGATTTGGGTGGGATCACAGTCAAACCATATCAGATATATATACATATGTGTGTGTGTGTATATATGTATATATATGTGTGCATATATATGTATGTGTATGTGTGCATATATATATGTTTCCAATGCCATATAGCATATATACACACACTAATATGCTAATATATGCTAAGTTTATTATAAATATTGAATTTATCTAATAGTACCATATACAGTTAATATCCAATCTATAAATATAAAGTTGGTAATACTTATAAAAATACTCATATAACTGTTATGAAGTTTGATTCACATTTGTTATCATGTCCTTTATTATCAATCAGTAATTCTTTAAATGTATGTCACATGGTATGAAGTAAACATGAAAACATATTTTTGTTTACTAGTTTCTGAATAACTGAATTAAATTGTTCTGAAATTTGCATTCTATGTATAGAACATTGGATCTTCCTGTATTGCTAACTTACTTTATCAAGAAACACATATTGCCAGTATTTTATATTTGTTATGTGTTTCTGATTAAGAGACTATCCCCACCAGTCACTAAAAAAAATAGTAGAATTTTGCTTGCTGCCAGGTTTAAGAAAAGTAAATACCAATAGAAACAGGTTAGCTTCAATAAATATAAATCACTTTGGAACAGAAAGGTCTGTTCCTTCCATGTGTAGCTTGTCTCTGTCATAAGTTATCTACAGGTAATACTGATAAATAAATTAGCTACTCAAAATGAAAATCTCCTGCTACCTTAAGGAAGAACTATATTTGAAGAAGGAAGGTGAAGATATGTGACAAAAATTTGATACACAAGGATGCAAAAGAAAAAAAAATACAAACCTATTCTTTAGATTAAAAAAAAAAAAATTTCACACTCAAATCCTTACAAGTGCTTGAAAAGATCCCAGAAAACCCAAGGCATCTTTCACATTTATTTCCTTTGATTGTTCTTAGTGGAAATTGATATAGGTGTACTTTTTATTGATTTAATATATATTCACACCTATTAGGTGAATGTTTTGTGAAAATTGTAGTTCAAGATTCCCACGAAATAGGAACACTGAGAAAGATCCTGTGTAGCTGCCATAGCAATTGTAGGTAAAAGGGTAAAGTCACACTTGTCATAATAGGAGATACATGAGGTGAATTAACATGTCCTAGTGAACTAAAGCTCCCTTTCAGGCACTAAATCCAGTAATCCAAGATTACTAAAGCTTGGCATAGAAGTTCCCTTGTAATAATAACAATGCAGCCCTGGGAGGAAAAGCAAAACCACACAAAATCAACTGTCTCTCTCTTTCTTTCTTTTCTTTTCCTTCTTTCCCTTCTTTGACAGAGTCTCACTCTGTCACCTACGCTGGAGTACAGTGGCACGATCTCAGCTTACTGCAGCCTCCACCTCCCAGGCTCAGTCAATCCTCCCAACTCAGCCTCCTGAATAGCTGGGACTACAGATGCACACCATCACTCCTGGTTAAATTTTGTATTTTTTTCACCATGTAGGGTTTCACCATGTTGCCTAAGCTGGTCTCAAACTCCTGGGCTCAAGTGACCTTCCCGCCTCGGCTTCCCTAGGTGCTGGGATTACAGTCATGAGCCACTGTGCCTGGCCCAAAATCAACAGTCAGTTGGAAAGTGGACTTCTTGATTTCATCCAAGAAATAGTGTCTCTTCCTTTCAAAGAACAGATGACAATATGAAAATGTACTGATGATCAGGCCGGGTACGGTGGCTCATGGCTGTAATCCCAGCACTTTGGGATGCCAAGGCGGGTGGATCATCTGGGGTTGGAAGTTCAAGACCAGGCTGACCAACATGGAGAAACTCCATATCTACTAAAAAACAAAAAATTAGCCGGGTGTGGTGGTGCATGCCTGTAATCCCAGCTACTCGGGAGGCTGAGGCAGGAGAACTGCTTGAACTCGGCAGGCAGAGGTTGCAGTGAGCTGGGATTGCACCACTGCACTCCAGCCTGGGCAAGAAGAGCAAAACTCCATCTGAAAAAAAAAAAAAAAAAAAAAAAAAGAAAGAAAGAAAGAAAGAAAAAGAAAAAGAAAAAAAAGAAGAAAAGAAAATGTACTGGTGATCATCTAAAAATGTTTGACTCTCCCTATTCTCCTGTTTGACTAAGATTACAAGCCCTTGAAGGGAAAGTCTAAAACCAAATGCTTTACTCCTCAGTCACTCATTCCTCATCTATACATTGGGATATAAGTACATGCCTTAGAGGATCCTTACAAAGATGAAATGAGAAATTACGTACCTTGTTCTAAGTGCACATTTATTTTCTAAAACAGAGTCAAGTGATGATCTTTGGTCCTTGACTATGAAGTGGCAGGTTTGTATCATTAGGGAAAAATTACTTGATAGTTGAAAGAAAATACAAGACAAAAGTAAATATACAGTTAATCCTTAAACAAGGGGGCTAGGAGTGCTGAACCCCTACACAGTCAGAAATCTCTGTATAACTTTTGACAGTTCCCCCAGACTGAACAAGTAATAGCCTTTGGTTGACTAGAAACCTTACCAATAACAAAAACAGTCGGTTAACACATATTTTGTATGCTATATGTATTACATACCATATTCTCACTATAAAGTAAGCTACAGAAAAAATGTTCTTATGAATATCATAAAGAAGAGAAACTATATTTACTATTCATTAAGTGGAAGTGGGTCATCATAAAGGTCTTCATTTCATTGTCTTCACCTTGAGTAGGCTGAGGATGGGGAAGAAGGGGAGGGGTTGGTATTGGTGTTCCAGGAGTGGCAGAGGCAGAAGAGTTGGAGGAGGTGGAAGGGGAGCCTGGAGGGGAAAACACACTGTGTACAACTTTACAGAAATATACCATGATTTCTGTCTGTTTTGCTTTTTCATTTCTCTAAAAATGTTTCTATATGGTACCAATACTCTCATGGTTTGCTTTAGTTTCTGTGCCCTCCACGTCATAAAAGAAGTCAAAAGCAGTCTCGGATAATCAAAGCCCTTCTGCTAGATTTTCTACTGTCAACTTGTTTTCTGGCACTGCTTCCTCTATGTCTTCTTCCTCACCGTCTGCCACTGGTTTGGAAGCACTCACCTCCATCAAGTCATCTTCTTTGAATTTTTCTGGTGTAGTGTCTATAAGTGTCTGCATTTCTCCAAAATCTGTATCCTGAAACCCTCCCAGTATTTTTTTGGCCATATCTACAATCCCTTATATGAATTCCTTGATGGGCTCTGCCATAAATCCTGGGAAGCAATGCACAACCTCTGGACAGGGCTCTTTTTAACAGTTTATCGTTTCAGGCCCGATGGCTTTCATGGCTTTTACTATAACAATGATGTCACCTTCAGTGGTGTAATACTCCCATATTTTTACGATACTGTCTCTATCAGGGTTCTCCTCCGTAGCACTGACAAATCTTATCCATAGAGCTCCATGTGTTATGTGCCTTAAAGATCTTTGTGACCTCCCTATCAAGAGGCTGAATTAGAGATGTTGTGTTTGGGAGAAAGTAGACCACTTTGAAGCATTTGTTGTTGAACTCATGGCATTCTGGGTTGCCAGGGTCATTGTTCAACATAAAAATAACTTAAAAGGCAGTTTCTTCCTGGAAGGGTACTCCTGACTTTAGGGCCAAAACATCAATTGAACCGATCCAGAAAAAGCATTCTCCTTGCTCAGTGCCTCTTGTTATACTAAAGATTGGCAACTGGTGTTTATCTTTTCTCTTTGTAGTCAGCAGCTTTATAGATAAGGGTAGTCCTGATTACAAACCTGGTTGCATTTTCACAAAACAGAAGAGTTAGCCTATCCTTTCTTGCCTTAAATCCTTAATAATAAAAGTCCTTTATGACACTCTTTCTTACTAATAAATGTCCTTTTTGACACTGTTTTCCAGAATATGGCACTTTCACCTGCATTAAAAACCTGTTCAGGCACATATCCTTTCTCCTCAATGATTTTCTTTTTTTGTTTTTTTGAGACAGGGTCTCACTCTGACACCCACGCTGGAGCACAACGGCACAATCTCAGCTCACTGCAACCTCTGCCTCCTGGGATCAGGTGATCCTCTCAACTCAGCTTCTTGAGTAGCTAGAACTACAGGCATGCGCCATCACTCCTGGCTAATTTTTGTATTTCATTTTTTTATTTTTTAGTAGAGACAGGGTTTCACAATGTTACCCAGGCTGGTCTTGAACCCCTGGGTTCAAACAATCCTCCCGACTGGGCCTCCCAAAATGCTGGGATTATAGGTGTGAGCCACTGCACCTGGCCTCCTCAATGATTTTCTTAATGGCAGCTGGAAACTTGTCTGCTGCCTTAGTCAGCAGAAGCTGCTTCTCCTGTTATCTCGATGTTTTTAAAGCCAAACCACTAAAATTATCAAACCATCCTTTGCTACTATTAAAATTCTCCAGCTTTAAATCCTTCATCTTCCTTTTGCTTTAAGTTGCCATAAAATAACTTTGCTTTTTCTCGAGTCATATTGCATTCTATAGGTATGCCTTTCTTATAACAATCTTGCATCCACATAAAAGCTCCATTTTCAACGTATCTATCTCATGCAAGGTTTGTGTGCCTGCTGGCATAGCTACAGCGACAACCTTGTAAATTTCCTTTTTGTTTTTATACAATTAATCTTACACTGGATTCATTTATCTTGAAATGGTGGGCAACCGCAGCTGCAGACTTCAAACTATGGTATATATCAAGCAATTCAACTTGTTCTTATAACACCCTAACTTTTCTTTGCTTCCTGAGAGCACTTCCAGCATTACTAGTGGCACTTTGTATGGGCCTCGTGGTGTTATTCGAGGTTCATGATATTGCACTAAGCATGATGAAACATGCGAGAACCATGAGAGATCACTTTTTACTGTGATGCCCAATTTACTGGAGAGAGGAACTGCTCACATGGAGATTATGAGCATCACATGGTGTTTTAAGTAGATACTCTCCACACTTGTGCTCCCTGCAATAGTGGCAGGAGGCGGCTATAAAATTATTACAGTAGTGTAGTATGTACCACAGTTAATTTTGTGCAGTTATGATTTAATACTGCATCTTTACATTTCTCTCAGCTGCAAATGGCACCATTTAAGGTCTGTAATCTGAGCGTAAGTTTAGAAAATGTTAACTTTTTATAATAGATTTGTATATACTCTATAGTAAGTGATAAAATAGACTAGAACCTACATGTTGTATGCATTCATGACATAACCTTTTATTATTTTTTTGACATTGATAGGCTATGGAGCTCATCTGTGGGTTTTTTCAAATTGTCGCAAATCTCCACAACATTTTCCAATATACTTATTTTAAAAATCTGCATATAATTGGAGCCATTCAGTTCAAACTGTGCTACTCAAGGGTCAACTGTATTTATTTAATAATTAATATATTAATCTGTTCTCACACTGGTAATAGACATGCCCAGGACTGGGTAATTTATAAAGGAAAGAGGTTTAATTGACTCACAGTTCCACATGGCTGAGGAGCCCTCACAATCATAGTGGAAGGTGAATGAGGGGTAAAGTCAAGTCTTACGTGGTAACAGGCAAGAGAGCTTGTGCAGAGGAACTCCCATTTATAAGACCATTATAATTCCTAAGACTTACTCACTAACAGGAGAACAGTACGGGTGAAACTGCCCCCATCATTCAATTATCACCACCTGGCCCCACCCTTGACATGTGGGGATTATTACAATTCAAGGTCAGATATGGGTGGGGACACAGCCAAACTATATCAGTTAACAACACAGTGCTTATAATATGGTCATTGCGGTGTTTATGATATGCCCATGACCGCTTATAAGTGCTTTACAAATATGAAGTCATTAAATCTTAATAACAAATATATTAATAAAGAACTGTTTCTTTTTCACATTTTGCAGGTCAGGAAACTAAGGCACAGAGAAGCTGGCTGGCCCCCAGAACACACTTAAACCTCATATTCTACTACTGTCCCCTTTTAGATATTACAAAGTTTCAACTTTTACTTCAAAGACTTTATCACTTGAGTCTCAAATGTCACTTATTTATTTCTATAAAAGTACTGCACCATTCAAATTTTTCCTTAAGTAGACATTCAAAGTGAATAACTATAAAAGTCTGACAATATTCCCTTTCCTTGTGATAAGAAAACAGAGAACATCAGTTGCTTTCTTATTTATAGCTGAGAATATTTCTCCCTAGACAGAGTTAAATTTACATTTAAAACACCCACCTTATTGAAAATATTTAAAATTTAAAAATTATATTGAGCTAACATTTGTTGGTTGCATACAATGTGCTAGGCATCGTTCAAGTGGTTTTTGTGTATTAACTCATTTTGGTTTTGGATACGTAAATAGCACTAACTGGTTTTTGATGGTTTGTTCTTATGCTGCCCGCACAAATTTGAGAATTGACCCAAACTCAATGGAACTATAAAGAGGGACCTTCTCATGATGTAAAAAAAGCCTCTGATCTGTCCTATTTTCCTCATACAGTGAGAGTCATAATACACATTTATATGCTGCTAAAATATGTAGGCTAGAGAAGTGCCATAGACTCATTAATTTTACAAATTGTGGTGGAAAAAGAGAGTAAAGGAAAACAGGTAACATTTTTAGTTGTCAATAAATGGATCCAATAGAAGATACATTCTTAAATAGGGGGACTGATTTTCGGTAAAAGGTATTTTCTCATCATTACAATGTTTAGAGACAACATCTAAATCATATTTTTATGGTTTTTAGGTTATGTGTAGCAGCTAATTATTGCTTAAAAGTAGTTTTACAAATTTATCTACATGTTAGCATGAGTTCATATGCTATGAATTGCATCATTTGAGCTAAAAGAATTTTTTCTCTAATATTGGGCTAGAAAAAAGTATTTTCTATTTGCTATATATCATATTCAATATAGTTTTAGAGAAATCATTTTCCACAGTCTGCCAAATTATCCTTCACCTGCACTAAAATTACAACCTCAGCCATAACCTATGGAAAAGAAATAAAATGGATAACCAATAGTAGTACTGGGAGATTAAAAGAAACATTCTCTATTGTATTTCTCAGAGAGTATTAGGTTAAAATTCAAATTCCTTCTAGTGACAGATTGTTACAAGAATAAGAAATGGCACAAACAATCCATTTCAGGACAAAGATTTTACAAAAATAGGAAGGTTAATTATAATTGAATATTCCCTATGGATATCTCAGAAGATATGCCTCAGTCGATTTCCTATTGACAGGTGGTAGTGTAAATTAAATGTAGTATTATGCATTCAAATTGGATTTCAACTACTCATCATCCATAGTGTGAGATTAGAATTAGCCTCAATGATGACAGTCTAAAGATCATAATGAGAAGAGCTGCCCTTGTCCATTCATATTGTACTTTCACTGGTGGGAAGGGTAGGTGTTAGAGATTGGATTCAAATTTTGTTATAATCTTTGCTGCCTGAAAATTTATTCCATGAATCTACTATCTTGAATATTAATACTGTACTGACTGTTCTCTGAATTAATGACACACAAAAGGCCACTTGTCTTCTATAAATATTGTGCCAAATCCAAAAAGCAGCATTCAAGATTCTGTCAATTCCACCATCAATCACTGTTTATCGGTTTATACAAACATGGGGAAGCTAGTGTGTTCTCTAGAGTTTCAAACAAAAACAAAACCAAAACCAAAAGGAAAACAAAAAAGCACAGCAGGAACGAGGCCTGTATCTTTAAAAAAGAAAAAGGAAGCCAGGTGTGGTGGCTTGCAACTGTAATCCCAGCACTTTGGGAGGCAGAGGCAGGATCACTTGAGGCCAGGAGTTCAAGACCAGCCTGACCAAGATGGCAAAACCCCGTCTCCAGTGAAAATATAAAAATTAGAAAGGCATGGAGGTACACACCTGTAATCCTAGCTACTAGGGTGGCTGAGGCAGGAGAATCACTTGAACCCTGCAGGGAGAGGTTGAAGTGAGCCAAAATCATGCCACTGCACTGCATCCTAAATGACAGAGTGAGACTCTATCTCAAAACACACACACACACATACACACACACACAGAGAGAGAGAGAGAAAATGGAAAGAAAGGAAGGAAGGGAGGGGGCTTAAAAGAGGGTTTGTCTTTCTGGTAAGGTTCATAAGTGACTTCAATAGTTGTTCTTATTCAGGGATGTGCTGCAGAAACCTGGCGTAGAATTCTATGAAGGTATCCATGTGCTATGGCATGTGAATGCTCAAATCACTTCTTGTGTAATTCTGATGGACAGCTATCCTCCAAATCCTCGGTAGTCTCTCTCAAAATGAGCATTTGCAGACAACTTGCATTAGAAAAAGCACCAAGGCAGGTTGAGCAGGTGCTTGTTGAAAATCCAGACCCTGGGACCTACTTTGGTCCTACTAATTCAGCATTTTTGAGAGGGAAGCCTGAGAACCTCTTAAAAACAAAACAAACAAAACAATACCAAACAAAAGAAACACTATCTGCAGGTAAGTTCAAACTATTATAAAGCGTAAGAATCACTGAAGTAAGACTGTAGAATCAGCACTTACCTGCTTAGTCATTATTATGACAATTTCAAAGCCTAGACATTAAGGTAGAAATGTCATGTGATGAGTTATTCTATTTGAAATTAGTATATTATTTTGGCTGTTAAAGAGTATTTTTGCTATTACAGGCATAGTATTTTTTATGCCACAGGCAAATCGAATGTTTCTGGTTAGTCATTAAGACTAACAACCAAGATTTATTTTGGTTAAAATTATTGCTAGTTAGCATGTATGAAGATTGAAGAAAAACAGTTGGCCCATAATATTAGACATATGAACACAAATATAGCATATAACAAGTAGCTTCAATAAAACAAATGTCCATTTTCTTTTAATGTGTCTCCAAACAATTGCCTATACTTTAAACTGCAAGAAACAATAATTATAATAGCATCTGGTAGAATTTCTATCTCAACAGAGTTGTTTTTTTTCTTTAATAATGATATGTAATTATTCATGACATTTGGGATTACTGAAGACAAACAGAAGAAAGAGAATGAAATGTTAAGCCTTCCTGAGCATCAAAGAGAGTATATTTTTATTATAACTTCTAATTTAATTAATGTATTCTTAATGCCATCTGGTCAGATTATCTTAAAAGTTAACAGAAGAGATTGACACTTCACAAATAATAAACCTGAAAATGTATAATACTGAATTTATACAATCATCATAGCCAGAACAACACACAAAAAAAAGAATGAATAAGAGGAAAAAACCATTTCAGTCAACTCTAGTGCACATTTAGTATTATCATGGAATGAAGAAAGGAGACTCATTATGCCCTCAACCATGATTTAAGTCATCACTATAATATTATATTTAAGTGTATTTAAATACAAGTGAGATGTACACCTGCTCCAAATGCTTCATTGAAAGAAGGTAATAAAATGTGAATAACAACATATGTCTGGAGCCAAATACTCAAGTTTTCAATCTAAAACTACTCTTTGTTAGCTGTGGGACCTGGGTAAGTTATAACCTTCTCTGGACCCAGGTCCTCATTGAAAAATATGATTATTCACATAAAGCATTCAGAAGAGTGGTAGGCATATAGTATATAAATTTTATATTCTATACATAACTTCTTTTAGCAATTGAAAACCTGTGGTATATCCTATAAATTAACACTTGATTCACAATCAGAAAATAGCTTTAGATAGTGGCTCTGTAGGGCAAATCACTCTTCTGAAACTTAGGTTATTTTTTCTTTTTTTGGTGGGAAAATGCAGTGATTATTATTTATCATATAAGATTGTTATTAAGATTAAATAAATTTGACTTTGTTAAAGTCCCCACCGAGTTTCTGACAAATAGTGGGGCCTGATTAGTTTCTTCAAGTCCCAATTTGGATAAAGTATTCCAACCATCTCCAGTGGACAAGGAACACAAATATTAGAAACTATAAATGACTTTGTACTTATTCTCATAATGATTAAAATATGACTTGAGAAATACATTTTATTTCTTCGTTCTATAGTCTGACATTTGAGGTGAGATTAGGTATTTTAATGCATATTTTGGTTACCTCATTCTATATCTGTGAGCTTGTTTCAAAGGCCATCCTAGTCTTTAATAACAAAGTATGTACATTTGGACAAATCTAACAACCAATGTTTTTGGAGTTCTAAGCCATCAGTCCCAGATGAAAAACAAGTTATGTTGTTTTTCTATTCTTGTGAACCTGAACACAAAAAGTATTAGTGATATTAAAGTACCACAATTAGCAACCTCAGTTATTCAGATTTGCACCATTCTGAATGCTGTCAATTAAAAATTAAAAGGTCCAGAAAATATCACCGAAGGAAGGATAGAGTCAAGAATGCATTTTTCTTCACTTAAAGTTATGTCACAAACACAATCTTTATCAACACGAATGTAATAATACCCAGCAAGTACATTTGAACGATATGGTATGCTCTGCTTAAAAACAAGATATTAACATAAACATTCATCATTCAGGGATCCTTATAAAGTAATCAGCTCAATTAGGTACAGAGTGAAATAAGATAAAAAACATAATTCAATTATATAGAAAAATGTGAAAGAAAAGCAAGGCTAAAAACATTGCTTAAGTTTTACTAGAAAATAATGTTTTTGTTGGAATGTCTCAAATTCAGTTTAGCGCACTGAATGGATTAGGTTTAGGTGTTGTGTTGGTAGCCATTTATTCACTTTTTCTTTGACATTCCCTTATTCCCCATGGTTTAGATAACACACAAATGCATGTATCAATTTGCAGAGAAAGAGTAAATGTAAGTTATTTTCGCTGTTTATTCATATGTTAGATTAACTTTATCAACCCATACATTAAAATGTAATCATTTCATTGTCAGGAGCCTAAAGCTAATGTTAATTATAGTTCGAAACTTCGATTATTAATGCATCTTTACCTACTGAAGTGTGAAATAAGCAATAGTAGTTGGAATGCACCAATTAAATTAGCTTCTGAGACAGGAATTCATAAGTAGGCATTTGTTCACAAATTAGGCATTTGTTCATTATGAACAAATGCTGTAGGAATTCATTCTAAGCTACATTTGTGAAATATCAGTCCCAAGGAGGGAGAAAAATTACTCAATGAGATGAAGAATAAATGACATATCCAATCAATAAAATCGTTGGGATAGGCATTCTCTATCTTTTCTCTTTACATTCCACATGTCATTCAGATAAAATAATATATACACTCGATCCATAGAAGAATACTTAAACTTTTTGTTTTATTTTGCTTCGTTTTAAGTAAGGAAGCAGGAGAGATTTGTTCTGTTTACATGGGGTACCAAAATCATGTAAGATTTGGCAATTATTGTTTATTGACTATTTTTTATTGAGCTATAAAATGCAAATAATTCTCGTCTTAGTCAACCTATGCCTTATATGCTTTTTGGGTAAAGCTTTGCTTCCTTCTTGTTTGGTCGGTTGTGCTTCTCACAGTGCTATATACACAATGCTTTATATTGTATTGCCTGTAAAAAATAATGTTGACTAATGTTTATGAACTGCTTTGTACGATGTGTCATGATACAATAACCCTCACTTTTTTATGTATGTTCAATTAACATTATTATTTTACAAACTAGAAACTTGGGCCATAGAAAGGTTAAAGAAGTGATCTAAAAGGCCACAATCTGTAAGCAACACTCCAATCTCTGTCCATTTTTTATTTTTTAGAATTTTGTTCATGATGAAATTGCCAAACTTAAACATGATAAAGAAAATTCCCATATGCAACCACCCAGATTTTAAATGTTTTTATAGTTTGCCAATACTTTCAAAGACTAAAATGATGACAGATAAAGTCCTCTCCTCTTTAATACCGTTATTCTTGATTTCGCCCCAGAGATAACCATTGCCAATAACTTGTTTATATTCCTGATGCCTTATTTTTATAGTTTAACCAGAAACACGTTACATTTTTTGTGCTCTTAAGCTTTTTGTAAATATTTTCATGCTATAGTATCATTAGGCAACCTTTTGTTTATTTGGCATCTTTTTTGGAATTTAAATATATTGTTACATGTATATCTACTTTATTTTACGTAATTTACTGTTATATGACTTGTGGCTTAACAGCATTTACTGTAAAGCACCAAGGCATGCACTTATTTGTATTTTTCTTGCCGGACTGTTGCAGTACATTTTCATCTAATAATTCACGCCTCTCAATTCTGGGCACTTCTCTGCTATGGTTTCTATATCTGTCTGTCTATCGACTTATATATCTGTTTCTTGAAGTTTCTCTGGATTACCTCATACTTTACAACTCGGACATTTTACATCTTTGCCTATGACTTTTCTCCTATTCTCCTTCAGTTTTAAAAATAAATATTTTCTGAAACAGTAGAGTTTATAACTTTGCCAAAAATTACATGTCTCAGTCTTTACTTTCTGTCTTGCTCCTGCCATATTTTTTAGTTTATTGAGTGGGTTATTAGTCTTTCATTTAAAGAGGAAATGAAAACTTAAATACTTGCCAACTCGATCATATTTTCATATATATATATACATATATATTTTTTGAGAGAGAGATGATGACAAATAGGTACTTACCCCGATATACATGATAGTGATAAGAAATTACTTGAATATTTACATAATTTTTCTCAACAACAGAGATGCCATTGTTTGTGAATATACCTTTAACAGGTATATTTGTTATAAGGACAAGGCCCTATGGACATAGTCTGGATAGGCTAGAAGAGACAAAGAGACTGATAAACTGTTTTGTGTAAGAATGGGAATTTACAGTATTGCAAAGTAAAATATATTCTGTTTGAAATGCCTGTGCTAAGTGTCACTTATGAGCAGACAGCAAGTAATGGAGAAAAATGGGCAATATTAATAATTTCAATAAAGTACATAATAATTTTGTTACATCCAGATGTCCCCAATTTCCAGCATATTTTTTCCAGTCCCATTTTATTAAATGAGATGGGTTATACAGGGCAGGAGGATGTCGATCTAGATTGCAGAAATTGTTTCATAATGTTCAATTTTTATTTCAAACTTGAATTTTGTTATCCTAATATTATAGTATATTTAAATCACTTTGAGAAGGCATGTATTAAAAAGGGCCATATTATATCTATGCAAGGGAATATTATTTGAAAATAAGAAAAGTGCTGATACATGGCACACCATGAAAGAATCTCGAAAATATTATGCTCAATGAAAGGAGCTGGTAACAAGAGACCACATATTGTATGATTCCACTGTTATAAAATGTCCAGAACAAGCCAATTTCTGGAGATAAATAGTGGAATATTGGTTGCCTAGGACTGGGGGTATTGCGGGCAAATGGAAGTGACTTCTAATGGGTATCATGTAGGATTCTGGGGGCAAGAGATAAAAATGTTCTACAATTTATCGTGATTTAGATTGTGTAACTCTATGAATATACTAAGAACATCTATCTGTGCACTTTAAATGGATGAATTGTGTAGTATGTGAATTATGTCTCAATAAAGCTGCTTCCCCTCAAAAAGTCAAATCTTTTTTATTTACAATATGCTCAATCTTAAATATTGTAACATAAAAAGGAAAGATGCCATAGAATTAAATGGCGTTATTAAATTAAATATTACAATATAGATTCCACGAGTTTCAAATTTGCCACATTGAAAGTCACCTTAGAAATCATCCCATCCCATCAAGATATAAAAGGAATGACAACACTACAATAATTATGAAGGGATTCAGGCAAAGCATTTCCCACATTTTACTAAAGACAGGTGTATACTGAAGAATTACATTTTAAAAATAAATACAGATTGTAGAAATGTAATTTCTATATACCCCTGGAACACAGAGGCAGGGGGGCTATAATAAAAGTGAAAGAAGATATAAGATTGGTTTAATTCTTTTATTAAAAATAATTTTAAATTACCAATGGCCCCTTGTGCTCTATCAGTTTTAAGGGAAATACTTTTGACAGTGCAATAGTAACTAATGGTTTCAGTACTTCATATTTTAAAGCCTCACAATAGCTCCTAATTGATGTTAATAAAATCTGTCACTGATTTGGGAACAATAACAACAACAAAAATTCTGACTGAGAAAAGTAGCCAAGTAAGGGTTTAAGTTTTTGCAAAACAGGAGTGCTAGAATTTAATCAAAAGCCCTTAGGCCTCCTGGACAATGAATTTACTTTCTGGAGAATACTTAAATGGAGCACTCACTGACCATGTGATAGTTTACTCTGGCTAGAAGCAAAAACTCACAGAACTGCTGTCATTCCTGTGCTCTTTAAGAAATGAAGAAAAATAAAAAGATTAGTTAGAAATTGTATTTCGTTTACAGTTAAGCCAGAGGAAGTTTTCCTCCTGGGTGCTATAGGTTAACAATATGAAGACCAAGCAATTATTGTGATAGTTTCACCATTACCAGCATCTTTTCTATAAAACTGACCATTGTTTTCTTTATCCTCCAGCATTATCCACAGTAACACTAGTGATTGCATATCCACTTTTCTCCTGATGAGAAAATGGCAATTTGTCCAGGTGACTGCCCTAAATGGTCAGCACAGATATGGTTGCCTTTCATGTCCTGGTTAATACAAAAGTCAACCTAAACCATTCCCTTTAAATGTTTGATGTAAGCAAGAACAATGGACATTTCTGATCAGTAACAGAAAAGGAATGTCTGCTGGGACATTGCTGAGAAATATATTCCCATTTTGAAAAGAAAGTGAAACACTATATTCTGACCTTGAAACTTGCTAAGAGGAAATTGTGTGTTCTCACCACAGAAAATAAGTATCTGAGGTAATGCATATGTTAAATGGCTTCATATGGCCATTCACAATGTATACATGCATCAAAACATCATATTGTACACTATAAATATATACAACTTTCCCTTGTGAATTAAGCAATTAAATAAAGAAAAGGTATTAAAAATGAGAGATAATTGGCCGGGCATGGTGGCTCACGCCTGTAATCCCAGCACTTTCGGAGGCCGAGGCAGGCAGATCTTGAGGTCAGTAGATCGAGACCATCCTGGCTAACACAGTGAGACCCCCGTCTCCACTAAAAATACAAAAAATTAGCCAGGCTTGGTGGCGGGCGCCTGTAGTCCCAGCTTCTTGGGAGGCTGAGGCAGGAGAATGACGAGAAACCAGGAGGCAGAGCCTGCAGTGAGCCAAGATCGCACCACTGCACTCCAGCCTGGGTGACAGAGCAAAACTCCACCTCAAAAAAAAAAAAAAAAAAAAAAAAAGATAATCCTCTTTTTCTACTGGGAACTGTTGCATCTATATGTGATGCCTACACCAGGAGGATTGCTAGCATGGAATCAAAGCTGCACAAACTGGAATTTTGAATATAAGACAGAAAAAAATATTGGTGATATAATGTAGCTATGGAATTCACCAATCCTCAATTTCTTATTGTATACACATTTTTTCCTTGCTTAAGTCCACTGAATCTGGATTTTCTTCTATTTATAGCCAAAAGCATTCTTACACTTCACTTCAATTTCTTTGTGAGGGCACAAAAGTTCACAATCATCTGCTTGGTGGCTTGCTCCAATTGATAGATGATAGGGTTTGGCTGTGTCCCCACCCAAATCTCATATTGAATTGTAACTTCCATAATTCCCACGTGTCATGGGAAGAACCTATTGGGAGTCAATTGAATCATGGGGGTGGTCTCTCATGTGCTGTTCTCATGATACTGAATAAGTCTAATGAGATCTGATGGTTTTATGAAGGGGAGCTCCCCTACATATGCTCTATTGCATGCCGCCATATATGATATGACTTTGTTCTCCATTCACCTTCTGCTATGATTGTGAAATCTCCCTAGCCATGTGAAACTGTGAGTCAATTAAACCTCTTTCCTTTATAAATTCCCCAGTCTTGAGTATATCTTTACTAGCAGGGTGAGAACAGACTAATACAGTAAATTGGTACCAGGTGGGGGGTGCTGCTGTAAAGATACCCCAAAAATGTGGAAGTGACTGTGGAACTCGGTAAGGAGTAGAGGTTGGAACAGTTTGGAGGGGTCAGAAGAAGATACGAAAATGTGGAAAAGTTTGGAACTTCCTAGATACTTGGAGGGCTCAGAGGACAGGAAGATGTGGGAAAGTATGGAAGTTCCTAGAGACTTGTTGAGTGGCTTTGAACAAAATGCTGATACTGATATGGACAATGAAGTCCAGGCTGAGGTGGTCTCAGAAGGAGACGAGGAGCTTTTTGGTAACTGGAGTGAAGGTCACTCTTCTATGCAAAGACAATGATGGCATTTTACCCCTGCCCTAGAGATCTATGGAACTCTGAACTTGAGAGAGATGACTTAGGTATCTGGTAGAAAAAATTTCTAAGCAGCAAAATGTTCAAGAGGAAGCAAAGCATAAATTTTGAACAATTTTCAGATGACAATGGAGTAAAACAGAAAAACCCATTTTCAGGGGAGAAATTAAGGCTGGCAGCAGAAATTTGCATAAGTAACGAGGAGCCAAATGTTAATAACCAAGACAATGAGGAAAATGTTTCCAGGGCATGTCAGAGCAGCCCCTCCCATCACAGGACTAGAGGCCTAGGAGAAAAACATGGTTTTGTGGGCTGGGCACACAGTCCCTAGTGCTGTGTACAACCTAGCAACTTGGTGCCCTACATCCCAGCCACTCCAGCCATAGGTAAAAGGGGCCAAGGTACAGCTCAGGCCATGGCTTCAGAGTACAAGCTCCAAGCCTTGGCAGCTTCCACAAGGTGTTGAGCCTGCAGGTTCAAAGAAGTTAAGAATTGAGGTTTGAGAACCTCCACCTAGATTTCAGAGGATGTTTGAAAATGCCTGGATGTCCAGGTAAAAGTTTGCTGCAGGGGTGGGGCCCTCATGTAGAACCTCTGCTAGGGTAATGCAGAAGGGAAATGTAGTGTCAGAGCCCCCACAAGGAGTCCCCACTGGGGCACTGCCTATTAGAGCTGTGCCTATTAGAAGAGGGCAGGCATCCTTCATATGCTAGAAAGTTAGATCTACTGACAGCTTACACCATGTGCCTGGAAAAGCTGCAGGCACTCAATGCCAGCCTGGGAAAGCAGCTAGGAGCGGGGCTGTACCCTGCAAAGCCAAAGGGGTGGAGCTGCCCAAGACCATGGGAACCCATCTCTTAACAACAGTGTAACCTGAATGTGAGACATGGAATCAAACGAGATCATTTTGGAGCTTTAAAATTTGACTTAAAGCTGGATTTTGGATTTGTGTCAGGCCTGTAGACCCTACTTTAAAAAAAAAAAAAAAAGGCTGGTTTGCCTGTAAAATGTTGATATAAATGCTGGAAGGGCATGTTTCTAGGGTGAAAGTAATGACTCTTCATTAATGGACAAAATATTCCAGCAATAGACTAAAAAGAAAACAGTCAAATCTTCTTAATCTCCTCTTATGTTCACTGCAGCATTATTCATAATAGCCAAGTTATGGAAAGAGCCAAGTCCAGTGACAGACGAATGGATAAAGAAAATGTGGCATATACATACAAATGAAATATTATTCAGCCTTGAAAAAGAAGAAAATCCTGCCATATGCAACTGCTTGGATGACTCTGGAAATAAGCCTGTCACAGAAGAGTATGTGCTGCATGATTTCACTTATATAAGGTATCTAAAATATTCAAACTCGTAGAAACAGAGAGTAGAATGGTCACTGCTAGGGGTTGAGGGGTGAGAGAGGGATGAGGAGTTGCTGTACAATGGGCATAAAGTTTCAGTTATGAAAACGAATAAGTTCTAAACTTTTACCGTGCAACATTGAACTGATAGTTAACAATACTGTATTGTGCACTTAAAAATTTGTTAAAAGGGTAGATCTCATGTCAAATGTTCTTACCACAATAAAGAGGGAGAAATTACTGAAATATTTAGTACTATGTCTGATATGGTTTGGCTGTGTCTCCACCCAAATGTCAACTTGAATTGTATCTCCCAGAATTAGCACATGCTATGGGAGGGACCCATAGGGAGGTAAGTGAATCATGGGGGCTGGTCTTTCCCATGCTATTCTTGTGATAGTGAATTAAGCCTCGTGAGATCTGAGGGGTTTCTCCTTTTGCTTCTTCCTCATTTTCTCTTGCTGCCACCATGTAAGAAGTGCCTTTTGCCTCCTGCCATGATTCTGAGGCCTCCCCAGCCATGTGGAACTACAAGTCCAGTTAAACTTTTTTTTCTTCCCACTCTCAGTATGTCTTTATCAGCGTCATGGAAACAGACTAATACAGTAAATTTGTACCAATATAGTGGGGCATTGCTGAAAAGATACCCAAAAATGTGGACACAACTTTGGAATTGGGTAACAGGCAGAGATTGGGACAGTTTGGAGGGCTCAGAAGAAGACAGAAAAATGTGGGAAAGTTTGAAATCTCCTAGAGACTTGTTGAATGGCTTTGACAAAAATGCTATAGTGATATGAACAACAAGGTCCAGGCTGAGGCGGTCTCAGATGGAGATGAGGAACTTCTTGGGAACTGGAGAAAAGAAGACTCTTGTTAGCAAAGAGACTGGCAGCATTTTGCCCCTGCCCTAGAGATTTGTCAAACTTTGAACTTAAGATGATTTAGGGTATCTAGTGGAAGAAATGTCTAAGCAGCAAAGCATTCATAAGCTGACTTGGGTGCTGTTAAAACCATTCAACTTTAAAGGGAAACAGACCATAAAAGCTCAGAAAATTTGCAGCCTGATGATGCAGTAGAAAAGAAAAACCCATTTTTTCGAGGAGAAATTCAAGCTGGCTGCAGAAATTTGCATAAGTAGCAAGAAGCCTAATGTTAATCCCCAAGACCAGGGGGAAAATGTCTCCGGGCAATATCAGAGACCTTCATGGAAGCCCCTCCCATCACAGACCCAGAGGCACAGGAGGAAAAAGTGGTTTTGTGGGCTGGCCCCAGGGTCGCCATGTTGTGCACAGCCTAGGGAATTGGTGCCCTGTGTCCCACATGCACCAGCCGTGGCTGAAAGGGGTCAACATAGAGCCTGGGCTGTTGCTTCAGAGGGGGCAAGCCCGAATCCTTGGCAGCTTCCACATGGTGTTGAGCCTGTGGGGGCACAGAAGTCAAGAACTGAGGTTTTTGAACCTCCGCCTAGATTTTAGTAGATGTATAGATGCCCAGGCAAAATTTACTGCAGGGGTGGGGCCCTCATGGAGAACCTCTGCTAGGGCAGCGCAGAAGGGAAATGTGGGGTCGGAGTCCCCACACAGAGTCCCTTACTGGGGCACTGCCTAGTGGGCCATGAGGGCTACAGTCCCCCAGATCCTGGAATAGTAGATCCACCAACAGCTTGCACCGTGCACCTGGAAAAGCCACAGACACTCAATGCCAGCCCATGAAAGCAGCTGGGAAGAAGGCTGTACCCTGCAAAGCTACAGGGATGGAGCTGCCCAAGACCATGGGAACCCACCCCTTGCATCAGTGTGCCTTGGATGTAAGACATGGAGTCAAAGGAGATCATTTTGGACCTTTAAGATTTGACTGCCATGCTGGATTTTGGACTTGCATGGGCCCTGCAGCCCCTTTGTTTTGCCCAATTTCTCCCATTTGGAATGGCTGTATTTACCCAATACCTGTACCCCCACTGTATCTAGGAAGCAACTAGCTTGCTTTTGATTTTACAGGCTCGTAAGCAGAAGAGACTTGCCTTTTCTCAGATAAGACTTTGGACTGTGGACTTCTGGATTAATGCTGAAATGAGTTAGGACTTTGGGGGACTGTTGGGAAGGCATGATTGGTTTTGGAATTTGAGGACATGAGATATGGAGGATCAGAGGCAGAATGATATGGTTTGGCTCTGTCCCCACCCAAATCTCAACTCGAATTGTATCTCCCAGAATTCCCACATGTTGTGGGAGGGACCCAGGGGGAGCTAACTGAATCATGGGGCCTCTCTTTCCTGTGCTATTCTCCTGATAGTGAATTAAGCCTCACAAGATCCGATGGGTTTACCAGGGGTTTCTGCTTTTGCTTTTTCATTTTCTCTTGCCATCGCCATGTAAGAAGTGCCCTTCACCTCCCACCATGATTCTGAGGCCTCCCCAGCCATGTGGAACTATAAGTCCAATTAAACCTCTTTTTTCTTCCCAGTCTTGAGTACGTCTTTATTAGCTGCATGAAAACAGACTAATACAATGTCATACTTTAAAAAGCTGAGAAATTTTAAGATAATTGTCACATAAATAAAATATACAACATCTTTTTACTTTGCTGGGGCATGGGGCAGATTGGGAATGTTTAACCCCAAAATAAGCTTACACTTAGATGAAATGCAAAATTATATTGCAAAGAATAGAATAAAATAGTAAATTTAGGAGGGAGGGAAGAAATAAAGGCAGGCAGGCAGGCAGATATAATATGGCAATGAAGAGCTCATGTATTAGATGGAATAAAGCTATCTATCATATTTAAGTAACAGAATTCTAGAAAGTTAATGTAAAGAAATGCAGTTTTAATGTCAGACTGAGTATATTAATAATGAAAATCTACATCTCTGAAAGAGAAACTTGTAATGCTATTAAATCTTGTTGCCAGAGTTAGCATTTAAAGCACAATTTAGTAGAAATTAAAAATGTAGGATGACCAGTTACATTTGAATTTCAGATGAACAGAAAATAATTTAATAGTATAAGTATGTCCAAAATATTGCATGGGAAATACTTATATTAAACTTTCTCTAAAATTCAAGTTTAGCTGAATGCCCTGTATTATATCTGGCAACCCTAAATGCATAGCTTTTACTTGCAATATTATTGGCAGGTTTCAGCAGAAGTGGCCACATATATTCAAAGAGTATTTGAATTTTGAATTTGAAACTTTTGAATTTGAGATAGAAAGGACAAAATGGAAAGGAAGTTGTTGGAAAGGTCTAAACTTTTGAAAATAGTTTCATTTTTTCAGTATTCATTTCTTTGTTGTTGAGGCCCTGAGGCAATGTAAAACAAAAAACAAAATCTCTAGTTGTTTTTGTTTGTTTGTTTGTTTGTTTTGCTACATAATAGCCCATATGCTGTGGAAGTCAAGCAATTCTCCAATTGAAAACTAGCTTGGGGTCAGAGAGAGAGGAAGCAAACTCCAGGAGAGTGAGGAAATTACTTTGTTTTTTTTTTTTTTTGTGAGGCAAATTCTCAATCTGTCGCCCAGGCTGGAGTGCAATGGTGCTATCTCAGTTCACTGGAACCCCTGCCTCCAGGGTTCAAGTGATTCTCCTGCCTCAACCTCCCAAGTAGCTGGGATTCCAAGCGTCGGCCACCACAACCAACTAATTTCTGTACTTTTAAGTAGAGACAGGGTTTCACCATGTTGGCCAGGCTGATCTCAAACTCCTGACCTCTACTGATTCGCCTGCCTCAGCCTCCCAAAGTGCTGGTATTATACTTCTTCGTGTCTTACTTTTCTAGTTTATAAAATGAAGTGTTGATGGTATTAGGGGTTAAATAAGTTAGTCATTACAATGGACTTAAGATGATGATTACCACATGAATAGTTCACAGTTATTAACTGTTGTATTGATATTCTTTTTTAAATTGTTATAATTATTTTACTTAATATTATTAGTATATGACACCTATAACAGGTTTATAGGGATGCTGCGACAAAGACTAAAACCTGCAGATTTGGATTTTTAAAATAAAGATAATCTATTTTAAATATTATTTATTTATTTAAATATTATTTAAACATTATTTATTTAAATATTTATTTAAATTTTATTTAAATATTCATTTAAATATTATTTAAATAATCTATTTCTTGTGAGAACAAGAAAAAGCAATTATGCAGATATCTGACTCTCCAAACACAGCACCCTAAAGAGTATTCCAGTACTCAAGAAAATTTTAAAAATTTCTGTCTTCTATAAGCTTATTTCACATTCTATTTTAATGTTAGGCACCATATGATTAATAATATCATAAATACAAGTAAGTCAGTCAAAAAATTGGCACTAGATCTCTAACTTGGTCAAGGGGAAGGTGTTTCGTATAAGCAAATTAAGCTATAATTTGCCACTCAATAGTTTGCTGTATTCTAACACATTTTCCCCTGAATACTAAAAATTGTGTACTTATAAAAAAGTTTGTGTACTTAGTGGTAGATTCTTTGTAAATTCTGTACCTCAAAAGCATACCTGTTCAGCAGACACAGAAAATTATTGCCTCACTTTTATACCCACCCAAAATCTTATGGTATATTTGCTAATGATTCTCTTCTTTCTTTTATTCTTTTACATCTGTTTGGAAAAAAGTACTCATGAAGAGAATCATTTTAAAGTCCTCCAGATTTCTTAAGGTTCTGATTTTTTCTGCAAATTACATCTATTGCACAACAACCTTGAGCGTCAAGTTTTGTTGGATTTCTTTGCTAATGTAAGCAATGGTTAAGTAAAAATAGGTTAACTTACAAGCAATGGAAAGAGCTTCTTACAAAGTTACTGGTAAGTCTAAAAAAAGATAGGCTATGTTTTAGAAAATGGCTGATGAAAATGACTGAGCATCTGCATAAGTATTTATCTTTCCCTTTCCTTGAATCAGAGACATCCATATAATTTACATGCTTTTCTCCTACCTTCGATAACAGATAATAAATGTTAAGTGGGACCTCAGCATATATTAAGCACTTGGATCCTGTTCAGACAGCTTCCTTACTTTTCCTGAGCATCTTTGTAAACTAGGGAAACAGGATGCATTGCAGATCAATTCAATCAATCAACTTTAATCATAACAGAGGAATTAAGTTACTTTTCAGGCATGATGCAATAGAGAAAATTGCTTGGATTTTTTTTTAAGGCACTAAGCATCCTACAAGGGTTGTCATTTTGCTTCTGTATCTGCTCTCTATTCCAGAAGTCTGCATTTTCTTGAGGGATGAACAAGAAAGGCTAAAGCGGTTAGAATCTGGGGGCATAATGAATGCATTTTATGTCATTTCAAACACACCCAGGATCACTGACAAGAAATAAAAACAGAAAGTCAAAATATTTGCTGAAGGAGACAGAACCCCAGAAGGATTTTTTTCTTCCATTATTTGTGGCTTTGGGTTATGTCAGTTTATTTTATGGCTGCAGCAATTTTAAATGCATTTTCCTCTCCTGTGAGATGCACTCTTTCAACTTTCCTGGAGGTGAGCTTGAGGGTCTGATTGATGGTCAGATATGAGCGCACATATATGTACGCTCACATCTGACCATAAAACAAGTGATAATTTAGCATTTACTTTTAGAGGGGTGAGTTTCCTCTGCTCTTGTTCCTGGTTTGGGGGATTAAACCTTTCCTGCTTCATAGAACTGCATGATGAGCTTCTTGAACACACACATACTCACTCACACACACACACACACACACACACACACACACAAAACAGTGCCAATAATCTTCAACATCAGCATTTTTTTTCTTAATTTTTTTCTCTTTCCTTAATGAATCTGGAGAAGAGAAAATATAACATTTGTTTTTGAAATATTTGAATGAGGATGTTTCAAGCCAACATAGAGTAATTGCAAAATAAAATACCTAAAATATTTAAATAAATAAATCTAAAGTGCTATAATCATTTCTTATTAACACCAATAACCTATTTTATAAATAATGTTCAATTTAATCTAATAAGATCAAAATAAATTAGCATACCATCTTTGAATTACCAAAAAATCAAAATAAAAATGTGAAAGAAGACAACTAGAATTTACCACTTAAGTAGATTTCCCCCTTTCTGATTATAAAATTATTTTCTGCCATAATATTTGACCTAATAAAATAGCTATAAATAAGATAATTTAAAAAATACTTCATATTTTGCTTAAAATATGAATGTCAGGTTCTGAGCTGACTTAATAGTGCAGAATTTCTGACTAAAGTCAACTTAGCAAAATGCAAATTATTTATCTAACATCAGGAACTGAAACAAGAGTAAACTATGATGAGTTTAAATAAAAACAGAAAAATCATCTTTGTCAATTATACTTGAGATAAAAATTCATTGTCGAAATTTTGATTTTTTTTTAAATTTCCCTACTCATGGATTAGAAGCAAAATATACTCCCTCTTATTGACATGAATTGCTGACTGTTCAGCATTTACTGCCCTTTCTTCTGAGGACAGCATCATGGTGTCCTTGGCTACATCTACATTACTGCTGTCCTCTACAGCTCATTATAGATCAGCAATAACTGAGCTACAACTATTACAGAATTTCTCAACCTCATCCTATTGATATTGATATTGTGGACTGGATACTTCTGTGTTGTGGGGTTGTAGGATGGTTCTATGCATGGCAAGATGTTTAGCAGCATCTCTAGCCTCCACCCACTAAATTCCAGCAGAAACCTGCTTCCCTGTTGTAGCAACAGAAAATGTCTCCAGACATTGCCAAAATTGCCCTCCCCTCCACCACCTCTGTTGCCCCACACTTTGAGAACCATTCGTCCAGTGTCATGAGTTGGCATGTGGCTTGTTCAGGACCAATTCGAACCCATGACAGGACTTCCTGTAATGAAGTGTTCTTTAGTCTACTGGATTCAAGCTTAGAGTTCACTGCTGATGAACTTGGAGGATGCTCTTCTTAGAATATAACCAATATGATAAGACACGAAACAAAACAGTGAGTGGTAGAGAGGAATAGATTTCTGATGACATTTGGAGACGTGAGTACAGCAAAACCCCGAACTGTCATTATCCTTGAGTTTTTTGAGTGAATCAGTAACTTGTTTTTCATTTCCCTTATGCCACATTTGAGGTGATTGATGTCACTTTTAACTAAATGAAACCTTATTAATAGACTTATTATGAAAGCAAATGATGTCAATCAGAAAGCTTTCTAAATCATCAAAAATAAATGCGATACTTTACATTCTGAATGCTTTTAAAGATGTATGTATTTCAATGTTTATGCTATATGTAGGAAAACATACATTTTTAAATTTTGTTTTTATCTGATTGAAATAAAATAAGAAATTTTCACTTTGTCCTTTGGCAGTCACTACAAACTATGTTTATTCCTAGTAATTATGCTACTTTAGGGATATCACAAATGGGTACTGGATAGATATTCTGAAGCCTATCATCTCCCATATAGGGCTTTTTTTTTCTTTCTACGTACAATCCGGTTGACTCCAGTCAGCATCTCAGAACTTCAAACTGGCTTATAAAAAATATGCAAATATGATTTTCTACACAATTACAGAATCAAAATCACAGTTAACCAATATCACAATCCTGTCATTAAATAGGTTTACATGTTTAAAATGAGAATCAGTGAGGAAGCTTGGAAGACAATTCACATGGGATCCCTGCTTTGCTCCTTACCTGCTAATAATTAAATGAAACAGCACAAATCCTGCTGAAGTCTCATGAGCAGTAATGAAAATAAAAATTATTTCATAAGATTTGCTCAGTTTGGTACTTTTTTCAACTTACTTAAGGAAATAAACCTCCAGGACTTACAAAGCCTACTAAATAGAAAATATATAGTTGCATAAGTATAAATTTACTCTTTTTTGACCAGTAGGTTAGCCTCCCCCATCAATAGCCAAGAATGTCACCAGAATTTAAAAAATATTAACTGGCAACAAGAAAATATGAGTTATGTCCAAATCTGCTATCATCCTTCAATAATAAGTACATTGAAAAATAAACAGTAATGATAAGGAAGAGAAATAGAAAAACAGGTGCCTAGTACTCATGGGAATACTTTCAGTTGGTTTGTTTTATTACTATAGATGGTTTGAATCACGTTGATAATACTTTGTGTCATACTTGATCCTTGCCTTGTCAATCTGTTTATAACCCTATAAAATCATTTAGAAAGAAGATAGATTTTTTTTTATCAAGGTTGCCTTTTCTTTACAAGTCTATGAGTATATTTTGCTGTTAGTTGGAAGATCAGCACATTATGTGGTGGTCTTCCGCTTTTATAATAATGAGATTCCAGATGATCTTTTGCTTCTTAAAAAAAAAGAGGAAGAAAAAACTCTCATTACTGTTTTTTTCTATCAGAACTGCTTGTTATCATGCTTTACATTACCTTCCTTATATAATGTAGCCATCAATTCCAAAAAGAAAAGCCCAATAATGTGGTGTTTCTCTAGGTTCTTGGGGAATGATTGCCTTTAAAGTAAAATGCTTGCTATTAAATCTGAAGGCTGTTTTAATCATTGGAGCCTTTATGTATCATACAAATATGCAAGACCTTTTCACTTTTTCTCACTGAGTATTGCTAAAAAAAAAATTAAAGGGAATGTTACCCTTACAATTTCATGAGGGAGAGAATACCAAGAGAGTTTTCTAAGCTCATTTGAAGTCGGAGAAGGCTATTGTACCCATTTTTAAAACCTGATCAAAATTCAGTCTGCTGTTTGTTACTAAATTATGTATCTCTGAAGCATAAATGTGTTGGCTTTAGAAAGTTACAAATTAGTGCATTTCCATATGACTTGGGAAAAATGTAATTTTAACCAATTTTGTTTGGGGTGAAAAAATATTGTTTGCATTATTTTATAACACAAGGGAGCTGTCAACCCACATGGTCATCCAATTTCTGTGGCAGAGAGAGCTTCCTTGCATCTCAAATGGTTAGCAATAAAGCTTATACTTTTCACATTAATGCTACCGATAACATACAAAAAATGCTTACTTTATACACCTTATTTTGCAGAAGAAAATGTGACAAGCCTAACAGAAGAATTTGGTACCTCCTTGAGTACATATTCCATTTCTCACTCCATTATCTTTAATTCAAAAGTGTGAAACAGTATTTGAAATTGTCCTGAAACTTATTATTTTTAATCCTTTTCAGATATGTTGATTTCATTGTATTCTAGGGGAGTTTAGTTTGTGCCAGCTTGTCTTGCTGTCATCTCCTGTGTTACTGGGCTCTCATTCTTTGTTTGGTTAGTGAGTAGAGGCAAATATTAGCGGTTCCAAAAACGCCAATTTAAAGAGTAAAAAAAGAGACCTACAATGATATTGGTAAAAATTCATAAAATTAAATATGACTATATTAGAAAAGATAAATGTGTATGGACTAAGAAGAGGACAAAAAGAGTAGAAAATGTAATGAGAGGAAAAAAAGTAAATGAAAAAATTAAAATGGAGGGGAAATTTTGCAGGAAATTAGAAAACAGTTAATGAATCAATATGGAATAATGGTATTTTAGAAGCAACATATAATATATGAAATTGGCTAGTTAGGGAACTTAGAAGGCATTTTTAATACATATTGCTTAAAATGCCTATTTCAGGTTCTTTATATCTAAAATGGGAAGGTTGTTTCTCAGTTACAGATGTAAAGCCTGGTGATATCAATATGATGACAAAAGATGAAATCTTATTTACCCATGGCAGCTGTTTTCAACTGGGGTTTCCAGGGAGCATTGTTGGCTTTCACAGCTGGAGGGGAGTGCTACTGGCATCTGCTGAATGGAGGCCAGGAACACTGCTAAACATCCTATAACACAAAGGACAGTCTCTACAGCAGAGAATTATCTGGCCCAAAACGTCAATAGTGCCAAGGTGGAGAAACCTTGGTCTATGCCATTAATGATTTCTTTAAGAATGCTGAAGTGGACCAGGTGTCTGATTGATGTTTGATTTGAAAGCACTTTACTTTGCCCAGATGCCCATTTAAACCTTAAGTCAGGCAAAACTATCAATAGCCTTGCACTGACTCAAATCACATTTTACATGAATTATTGAGCGCCTCACAGAGTACTCTGAGGAGCACAATCACTGATCATTGGTTGGTGGAGAAATATTCAGAGTTCTGGGTGCTCCTAATCCTGAATTCAAGTTGGTTTAACCGATCGTATCTCAGAATAAGCAAGTATACATGAGAGACTATATATCTTTTCAAGTGGAAAGACTGCAAACAGAAGGAACAAGTGGTGTTTCAGAAGGTCCCTGATGTTGATGTATCAAGATGATCAATACAATACTTAACTACACTTTCAGGACTAAATGACATGACAAGAGGTTGAGAGAAGGTGGTCATTTGGGGTTGTGTATCAGCAGGTCAATCTCATGCCAGAGAGAATTCCCTAGAATGCTGCTTCTTAAACTTCATATGCCTACAAATCACCTGGAATTTCTAATAAAATGTAGATTGTGAGTCAGCCTGTCTAAAGTTGGGGACAGAGATACTGCATTTCTAAGTCGCCAAATATTACTGATTGTACGGGACTGAGGACCATAACTCGAGTGACAAGGCATTGGATTTGTCCTTTTAGAAATTATAACCACATCATTTAAAATCACATACACAAAAATTTATGTATATATGTTATATATAAAAGACAAATTACATATATATAATGTAAAATTGATATAACAATTTTATAGGAAAGATTAAGGTTCTCTCAAATAATTCTCATAGATTCATTTTAATTTAAAAATTAGTTGTTGAAGCAATATCTGAGTAAATTCTAATTATTGAAAAAAGTACAAATAAGGCCAAGGACCCCTTTTGATTACTGAATATGTCTCACAACCAGTCCTTCCTCTCCAGCTCTACTGGCATCTCTCTTTCCTCTGCCCCACTCAAAAATAAATATAACTTTTACCAGTTTGGTATATGTTCTTCCATATCTTTTTCTACGCATTTATGTACATTCATATGCACCTATACATTATTTATTTGTAAATTAATGTTTTAGTTGTGTTATAATTGTGTCTGTATTATCCTGTAACTCACTTTCTTCACTCAAAATTACATTATAATTATATATGGTTTTATATATATAATTCCATCTATCATCTCTTAGAACACAATACTGTATAATGAACTGTTCAGCTTATTTTTAATTACTACATTGTAATCCATAGACTGGATATGCCATTTTACTTTTCTAAAAGTAGCATTTAGATGCTACTTTTTAAAAATAAATACATTGTTTTATGTGTTGATGTTACAAAAGAAAAATAGGTAGACATCAACTGTATGTTTTAAGATAAACATGAAAATTGCAAATACTATAGAAAGTAGATAATTGAGTTTTTCAAATCGAAACATTATGCAATTGTTAAATATTTTCTAAGCTAATAATCCAAAATTTATGTGCACTTCCACATGGGAACTAGAATAGAAAAAAAAAAATCTAGAGAAGGAAAACATACTGAAGTATTTCAGCTAGGCATGGTGGCTCACACCTGTAATCCCAGCACTTTGGGAGGCCGAGGCAGGCACATCACCTGAGGTCAGGAGTTCAAGACCAGCCTGGCCAGCATGGCGAAACCCTGTCTCTACTAAAAATACCAAAATTAGCTGGGCATGGTGGTGGGTGCCTGTAATCCCAGCTACTCAGGATGCTGAGGCAGGAGAATCGCTTGAACCTGGGAAGCGGAGGTTGCAGTGAGCCAAGATTGCGCCACTGCTGCACTCCAGCCTGGGCAACAGAGTGAGACTCTGTCTCAAAAAAAAAAAAAAGTATTTCCTGGGTACAGGAATGCTATTTTTGTGGTGGCAAAATTTTTTCAAAGTGATACCTAAGCCAATTAAATCTTTACTTTTACTAGGGTTGTCCATTCAATTGCAGCCTATACAAATAGTAGAAGACATGAATGGTGTTCCATAATGACAGGACTTATTTTGCTTTTTTTTTCCCCCTTGTGTCAGACGTAATTTAGCCTTCTTGAAAATTCTCTTGGGTTTGCTCCAAGAGAATAATTTACAGCTACAATCGAGATTTCTTCTAGATTTACATATTCCTAAAAGGGCTCAGAGAATACTAGCTTACATTATTACCTTCACAAAAGTGTTACCAAAGTTCTAATATTCGAACCTATAATTCTTAGTTTGTCCTTCCTGATTTTTCTGCCTTTCAACCAAATTCATGGCAGGTTTGGCAAATATTGAGCTTTCACATGGCATTTTGCAGACGAACTCTTAGGTACCACAGGATATATGCAGGTTTTGTCATGAATAGCACTGATGCCATGTTATATTGTTCTGTCAGTCCACACACAGTGGCTGTTTTGAGTCAATCCTGTAGCTCACTTGGGTATCATCTCCATGGTAACTTGTTTACAAGGGCTGAAATACAAGCTGAAAATTCAAGGTTAGCATTTCCTTTGTTGATGTTTTGATGTTTTTGGCAATCAGAATAATGTGGGCATAAGACTTGATTTAAACAGCTTCATGGCAGGCTGAGTCAAAACAAAACTCCATACAAAATGTGCTTTCTTCATCTCCATTAAAAAAGAGAGAATTCAAAACGATCTTTAATCAGAACCATCAGTTACATCTCCCTTTCATATTCCAAAACAACAGTCCTCTAGCTGCACTTTAGAATCACATCTTGGGAAATAGATTTAAGGCTTCGTAACTTTTGAAGCAATAAATTATTTGTGCATATGTTCTTCCTTATATGAAGAATTTGGTTTATTTTAGACCAGCATTGTGTTGGGAGGGGGAAATGAACAGTTTTACTACCCATGCTAAAGCCTTTCATCCTCCAAGTGGATGAGCCTTTTGTATTCTAAAAATTGACTGCATTTTCCTTATGAAAAACACTTACTACTCAAAATTACTCTTTCCTAGAAATAATTATAAAATGACTCTGATTATCACATTAGTTTAGTGGAATGTTTAATGTTAATATGGACAATTTGAATTCAATTTTTTTTTAAAAAAACTGATTTTTCGGTAAGCAACTCATATCCCAAAATAATCTTAAATCTATAAAATTTGGTCATTCAAATAAATTTCCACAAAATAGTGGAGAATAGAAAAATAATGTTATACATCTTAATGTTCTTTATAATGTCTTAATGAGTTTTCATGAACATTAACATAACCTCTAAAACCAGGACAGGATGTCCACTACCATTTATTTTCACCACAATTTCCTTCACATAGAATATAAATTTTCTACAGATACAATAATGTGTCCATTAGTATAAAAGTGGTGATTCAAGCAAAACTGAAGATAGCTTTTTTCTTGGGGGGGAGAAAGAGTCTCGCTTTGTTGCCCAGGCTGGAGTGCAATGGCGGATTCTGGCTCACTGCAAAGGCGGATTTTGGCTCACTGCAACCTCTGCCCCCTTGGTTCAAGTGATTCTCCCATCTCAGCCTCTGGAGTAGCTGGAACTACAGGCCGGTGCCACCACGCCCGGCTAACTTTTGTATTTTTAGTAGTGACGGCGTTTTGCCATGTTGGCCTGCCTGGTCTCGTACTCCTGATCCCAAATGATCCACCTGCCTCGGCCTCCAAAAGTGCTGGGATTACAGGTGTGAACCACTGCACCCGACCTGAAGATAAACTTTAAGACAGGAAGTCCAATTTAGAGTTGGTATTGCTCAAGTAAAAGTGATGAAATGATAATGTTCTGCCTGATTATTTGTCAGAAATCAGCTCATGCAAGTATTTCTTCCTTTTATATCCTTTTGGACAGAAATAGTCTTCTCTGCCTTTGTCAGTACCCTGTAAGAGTGTGCATGCATGTATATGTATGTGTGTGTGTGTGTGTGTGTATCCCTATCTCTGTGTGTCTGTGTGTGTGTATTTATATATTTTATATATATATATATATATATATATATACACACACACACATATATACATATATATGAATACCATGCATTGGCATGGTATCTATCACTAATAGATTGTCATCACAGTGACTGATATAAGAAGACAAACATTAACAGTCGGTGAATAAATATCTGACTTTCTCATAGTTGGTACATTTTTCTAGGGCTTTCTTAATGACACTGACACTTTTAGAAATCCCTCTTAGGATTTTGCTTTTCCTTTCCCAATGTGAATTTGTGGAATATTTAGCTTTTTTCTACTACATAGAGAGAAAGGATAGACAGATTCTTGCCCAACACACTGTAGAGCATGTAGACCTAGACCTTCCTTTCAATTCCTTGCCCAAGCCCTTCCCCCATATGAGGATACTTTTCGTTTTCTACTCAAACTCATTCAAGCTTCACCATGCTCCCTCCCCCTAGGTAAAGCTTTCTGAAAGAATGGGTTTCACACTGACAGTGATTTCTGAGCCTCTCATTTGGATGGAGTTTTGTTCACTAAAATGTGTCTAGTAAAAACAGCATAGAGAAGCTTTAGTGAATGCTGAAACCAGAGTACTTGGGGGGATTTAGTCTTATTTGGAATATTTGTTCCGCTTGATTAAATTCTACCTGTGTTCTTGCCTCTATTTTTTCTTTCTGTTCTTAATAATATTGAGTTATTTTTCCACTGCATTCTATCTTTCCTATGCACAAGTTCTTAGTCTCAAGTCACAGTTCTGCATGTACTATCCATTCTGGCTATTATTTTTACAACATTTTAAACATTAAGCATACAAAGTTCACTATTAGAAAAAAATTGTAAATCAAGTTGCCTGATTACAAAATAAATTCTTCCTTAAATTACCTTTTGAAGCAAGATTGAAGTAACCTAAGAATGACCTCAAGTTAAATGAAAAAGTTTGGTTTTATTGATTTACCTCTCATATGCCTCCAACTAGAGACCAATAAAATCCTAAAGAGTAGCACACAGGTGATTTTCACCCACAGATTATGGGTTTAGTTCTGAAATAAACTGTGAAGGATGATTTTTTTTTCCTTAATGAACCTGTATTAAAATAGATGCAACCAATTCTGATGGTGTTATATGGGCTGAGTTGCAAAGATCGTTATGTTTTAAGTCAACAACACAATTAAAAAACAACATGCTTCTTTCATCTTTTAAACTCTCCATTTACTTTAATTAAGCTCACACAGTGAAAACTTATTTTTTTCTTTTTAAAGATATAATTAAAAAGGTGAATTGAGAATTAGGATCCACCTTCACTCTTCTATATTTTTTGGAGTGGGGGCATTAGAATAGAATCTCTGGAATATGTGGTGTAAAATTTACATTTAGCACAGCTCCAAATTTATTATTGACAGTTGTGTTAATTTTTTTATAAAAAATAAATATTTTGAAAGGAGGAAATGCAAATGACAGATAAAGAAACTCAGCTTGATGCCCCAGTTGCAATGTCTGGCAGCTAACTCTGCCCAACACAATGAACAAGCCATGCATCACTGGAGAAGAGCAGAGACATGTCAGTCAAGCATGTTCATATGATGGAGAGAATGTGATAGCATTAGCACATTGACACAATATGACCCTGCCTATTAACACTCCTTTTTCCTTTCAGACTCCTCCTCAGATGGTATTGTGTGAATGAGAGCATTACTATTTAATAATTCTTCATTCAGGCTTTCCTAGTTGTCCACAAAACGTTCTTTGAAACAATAGAATAAAGGTAACAGCTCTCTTTTATATTTGTTAGACTCAATAACTAAATTCATTATCCTTGTAAGAAATAAAAATCTAAATGCACTTAGGAGCTCAAAATATAATATTAAATCAGTTAAATAGATGTATTATGACACTGAAGTAATTGAAAGTACTTTTAAAATTCACTCTCTGAATAGAAAATTTAATGGCTATTCAACAAATCAAATCCACACTGACACCGTACATTTTAAGTCAAGTAACTAGCTGCTGCTAATTAAATATTCCTTTTAGCTGGCCCTCCAAACTGATGCAAGGACTAATCAAACATGATAATAAAGAATCAATGTAAAATAGTACATATAGTTAAGAACTAAATTGTATGATACACTAAAAATCATCCAGGCTTTTAAAATAGAGAAGAAAACCTAGGCAATACCATTCAGGACATAGGCATGGGCAAGGACTTCATGTCTAAAACACCAAAAGCAATGGCAACAAAAGCCAAAATTGACAAATGGGATCTAATTAAACTAAAGAGCTTCTGCACAGCAAAAGAAACTACAATCAGAGTGAACAGGCAACCTACAGAATGGGAGAACATTTTTGCAATCTACTCATCTGACAAAGGGCTAATATCCAGAATCTACAATGAATGCAAACAAATTTACAAGAAAAAAACAAACAACCCCATCAAAAAGTGGGCAAAGGATATGAACAGACACTTCTGAAAAGAAGACATTTATGCAGCCAAAAGACACAGGAAAAAATGCTCATCATCACTGGCCATCAGAGAAATGCAAATCAAAACCACAATGAGATACCATCTCACACCAGTTAGAATGGTGATCATTAAAAAGTCAGGAAACAACAGGTGCTGGAGAGGATGTGGAGAAACAGGAACGCTTTTACACTGTTGGTGGGACTGTAAACTAGTTCAACCATTGTGGAAGTCAGTGTGGCGATTCCTCAGGGATCTAGAACTAGAAATACCATTTGATCCAGCCATCCCATTACTGGGTATATACCCAAAAGATTATAAATCATGCTGCTATAAAGACACATGCACACGTATGTTTATTGCGGCACTATTCACAATAGCAAAGACTTGGAACCAACCCAAATGTCCATCAATGATAGACTGGATTAAGAAAATGTGGCACATATACACCATGGAATACTATGCAGCCATAAAAAATGATGAGTTCATGTCCTTTGTAGAGACATGGATGAAGCTGGAAACCATCATTCTCAGCAAACTATCTCAAGGACAAAAAACCAAACACCACATGTTCTCACTCATAGGTGGGAATTGAACAACGAGAACACATGGACACAGGAAGGGGAACTGTGTCCAGGAAGGGACACACACAGGGGCCTGTTGTGGGGTTGGGGGAGGGGGAAGGGATAGCATTAGGAGAAACACCTAATGTTAAATGACGAGTTATTGGGTGCAGCACACCAACATGGTACATGTATACATATGTAACTAAGCTGCACGTTGTGCACATGTACCCTAAAACTTAAAGTATAATAAAAAAATTTAAAAAATTAAAAAGAAAGAAAAAATAGAGATTTATTAATAAACTGACAATCAATAAATTATTTTAAAAAACCTCAACATTTTGTATTTTAACTTGAATGTTTAAGTGTTGAATTGGTACAATTAATATGTGTGTGTACTCATGCAAAGAAAAAGACTAAAATAAAACCATGGAAGTAAGAGAGTGTTTTGTGGAAGAGAAAGGAGAATAATCAGATAAGGGTAGAAATATTTGAAAGGCAGACATGGCTAAATGGGTTGCATGGAGGATCAGATCATTCTTCTCATTTTCAGTCAGAGAGTTTTAGACTTGTTAATAAACAGAACGCAATTCATATTGATTTCAATTCATGAAAGTATTGTGTTACTTTTTTTTAGAAAGCAAGAGTATTTAAGACCTATCAATATTTCCATGACATGCAGAAACAATGAGTTAGAGGGAAATGAGGCTTGAGTCACAATAGTTTCTGAAGAGGCTGCTGTAGAGAACATATTTTGTTCAATTTGATAGCAATAAGAATGAAAAAAATTAGAGTGACACACAGCATTTGGTGTCCTACTAAATATAAGCATAAGAGGAATTGGTCAACATTTCGAACTCCAAGTTTGGATGACAAAGAAGGTATGATCTCAACGACAGAAACAGATCCTTTATTATACAGTACAAGTGATCTTGAATATCCCCTTGCTCCACCTGTGGAATAATCTGTCTTATGGTCATTCTCTAGCTTTATATAAACCCTGGCATTTAGATTCATATTTCAGTGGTCAGTGAAGTTCCATCAATCTTACTTAAGCTCCTGTGAGCTGGGGATACCCATATTCCTGAATTCTCCTTCAAATTTATTATGTGCTTCCATACTTTTTCTCTTTGTCAAAGAAATGTTCAGTTGAATGTATTAGTGTAGCTTAAAATGCATGCATCTACATAAATATTTGTGAACTACTACTTTAGGTTAAATTATCTGCTAAGCACTGAAGACATTATTTTACAGGTTTTAATAAGCAAAATAATTGAAGGCATTAGAAAGCTATTTAGATAAAGCTAGTTTTCTGTCCTATTACTAACACACTTCCAGAAGAACAAGTACAAAAATACTTCAATGAATGACATATTCTGTATCAACATCAGGAATATCCTGGCTCTTGACCCAAAAAATAGATTCTCTAGTTAATTTTGGACTCTTCCTTCATAACAAAATTAAATAAGATATAAATTTGAGTTTGAGAAATTGCTGCACACACATTAAAGCAAGGAATATGAGTAAAGTCCTTTACTCTGCAGGCAAAGTGTTGAAAGTCACAGTAGTCTATGAGTCTTCCAGTGGATGATTAACATGCAATTAAAAAAAACTAAAAATTTACTGTGCAAATGTTTTATAGATATTTTATAGATATAAAAAAGGATAAAGATATTTTATAGATAATAAAAAAGGAAAATCCAGACCAGATCCTAGAAAACACCAAATCTTCACATCATAGAGAATACGGGATGATGGGCAAATGAGGTGCCTAATAATAGAGGGCAGAACTACAGCCCAGCTCAGCATGGATAGACAATAAAGAATTGAAAGTAGTAGTAGTAGGTACTTTGTGGAGACCACTGAAGAGTAGCAACCACCTTTAAATGCACTTGAATAAAAACCAAATTTAAGTTTTACACTTGAGATGATGAAGAGGCCAAGTGTCTTAATTGTCTTTAATCAGTAACAAGGGTCTTGCCATAAGGAAATACTCTTTCTAGCGTAAGCTAGTTCAGGATAAAAAGAGAAATGAGAACCTGGCCAATGAAAAGAGAAATCCAGATTCGATATTTTGTAAGTGCTATGCTTTTAGCCACATTAAGCTAAGAGTTTTTCATGGCCCTAATGGAGAGGTTCTCATGAACCCCAGTGGATATTATTTCTAGATAATTACATGTTAGGTTTAAAGTAACTATATTGCTAATGATACCTATGTCTTTCATAGTGTGAATTTGGGCATCTCTTATAACTGAAGTTTAAAGAATATATTAAAGATATATATTTAAAACTGTATATAGTCAGTATTTTACATTTTAATTTTCAGGTAGCAAGCCAGGTAAGCACTACCCCTTCTGGTATGTTTTATAATAATAAGAGGAAACATTTCCTTTTTTCCCCAAAACAGTGCATTCAGGGAAGATTTCTTGAGTCCTGTAATATAGATTTTTCTCCTGAAATTAATAACAGTTAGCAAAAATGCGTTCATGCTCTGAGTGAAAAGAAATAATTAACTAGTTTAGGATAATTAATTTCTATGTCTTGTATACTTTTCAGGGACTACTTATTTATGCCAATATTCATTTGGCTGTCTGCCAAATAATAAGCTGCAGGATTTGGTTTTGTTTCTGTTTTTGTTTAAGGTTAACCATATTATCGTTACTTGGAATACTCCAAGCAGAGTTCAATATTGAATAGTATACGCTCTATTAATTACATTCAACTGAAATATTTTAGTTTTATCTGCCCATAAACTGAATTTCAGAAAGTATTTGTCTGGAAATTTCCTTTCTGACTGTTTTAGAACACCCTTTAAAACTCTTTATAAATCATCATTATTTGGTCGATACTTTAATTTTAAATAATTAGTGATATTATAAAGACTCATGCATTATGTCATATTTGGCAATATGTAATGGTGGGAAGTAATGGAAAACTAGGTGTATTAGATAATCCACATATAGGTATGGACGAATCCCAAGATTAAAAAAAGATATTCGGGAATGAGAAAACAGTGTGAAAATGACCCAAAAAGAGGTATATAAAAGGAAATTGTTAAAAACTTTCTTTTTGATTGCCATTATTTTAATGAAATGCTCTTAAATGTCTACAAGGTGCCATCTGGCCTTTGAGACAGAAAATTTTGATAGTTTTTTCTTAACTATTAGAATTTGACTATTTGCATGATTGATATCAGTTTCACTAGAAGAATGAAAAGAAATCAAATAAGAGTAGGTTTTGGTAGAGGAAAATTAGAACAAAGGAACAGGAAGGGTAGAATAAACATTTTAACACACTCATATGTATTTAGATTTCAAAATAAAACTAAATTTTGGTCAGTTAAGTAAACCACTGACTCAATAATAATTTAATCCATTTACATGGTCATTTTATTTAATGGGAAAAAATATAGACATCAGCAAAAGAAGTTAAAATCCATGGAATTAAGGTGTGAAAATCATTCTACCATATGGATTATCCTTCAGAGTAACATGCATACTCATGAATTTAATGTACCTAATATGTCACCAAACCCATTCTGCCATTTTATATCCCTTAAGTATACATTTATTAAAATCAATAAAAAATATTCCAGAATTTCTGCATGGCTGTGTAAGGAGCTTGACAAATCCTCTCTTCAGAAAAATAGTGACAAAACTGGAAAAATTTGATGAAAACCAATTTTGTGGTCTCTAGGACTTGAACAATGGGCATATAAAGAATTGGAAGTGGCTATGCAAAAGAATATACTGAAGTTCAGTAAGGAAAATGAGAATCTGTGACATTTCTATTAAGAGATGCCACCCCCTCCCTGCCCAGCTCTGTTTTACGGAATTTCTATTCTGGACAAGTGGGTCAGCCCAAGAGGATCTGCAGCTCTCCATCAGTTCCCTCAGCTCCAGGGTGCAAAAGTTCCACTACAGGCATTGCCAGGGCAGGCTCTAAGGCATAGTCAGCTAAGTGCCCTTGTCTGAAGGGGCTGATTTTATCTGCAGCAAAGCATGGAAAAAATTATTGCCAGTAGTTTTGTCATAAACAATAGAGATCACGGAGATCATCAACCAGTGAAGGCTAACATCTCCATGATAGCAGTAAAAAGAAACAAAACAGCAGAAATGTAGCAGGGAGACCCACAGACAGCAATAACCCAAAGGGCCCCGTTAAGACTAGACTCTTCACTGGTGCCCTGGAAGGCTGTGTATAGGCACAAAGTTATCTCCATGAAGGAGTAAATGAAACTTGTGAGCCATTGGTTCTTGGCTGAATGCAGGACTGACTTGTGAACACCTTGAACTTTAAAAAGTCACTCAAGACACACACAGATCTATTGGCAAAGGATGAAAGCCTCATTGGCTCAGAGGCCTTAAAGCACAACTTCTGACAAATGATTGGCTGACCATTAAGCTATACTGACTTTGGAACTCAGGCTTAAGCGTATGTGCGTGTTTAGTAAAAACCTGAACAGTGGTACCAGAGGTTGCACACTCTGGGGAAAACAAGCTTAACAATATTTATGAGAATAAATCACTAAATAAAGTAACAATAGCAAGCTCTGGGAGAGGGGGATCGTAATCTGGATTTGCTACAATATTTTCTATAGTGTCTCAGAAATCATGAAATATTGCATGAAATTAAGTATGTTTGATTCTTACAGTCAAAAAATGCAGACAATAGAATTGCATTTGAAAGGGTTTAGATGTTGGACTTAGCAGATAAATGCTTCAAAATCTTCTTCTATAATTTGTTCAAAGCACTAAAAGAATGTTTAAAGACTGAAAAGTATAATGATGATCTATCAAATAATACCAATAAAATTATAAAAATTAAGCACATAGAAATTCTTGAATTGGAAATCGAATAACTAAAATAAAAACTTTATAAGGATCTCAACAGTAGTTTGATCACAAGAAAAAAATCAAATAGATAAATAGAAATATTCCAATCTGAGATTTTCTAAAAAAAAAAAGAAAAAGAAATAAGTAAAAATGAACAAAGTCTTAGGGGTCTTTAAGACACAATTAGGCAAACCAAACCATATATTAATAGCAGCACCAAAATGGGAGGAGAGAAAGAAAGGGGCAGACAAAATACTCAAGAAAATAATGGCCCTAACTCTTCTGAATTTGATGAAGACCTTTGCACATCCAAGAAGCTCAACAAACTCCAACAGGATGAACACAAAGAGATCCGCACCTAACACATCAAAAGTTAAAGAGTTGAAAGACAAAGATAATATTGAAAGCATTAAGAGAAAAGATGACTCATCATGCACAGGGTAACCCCAGTACTTTAGCAGCTGACTTCCTATCAGAAACAACAGAGGCCAGAAGGCAGTGGTTAAGATGACATATTTGAAATGCTGAAAGACAACAAACAAACAACTGTCAACCAAGAATCCAGCAACCTATCTTTGAAAAATCAAGGCAAAACAAAGACACAACCAAATGAATAAAGACTGAGAGAATTTCTTGCTTCAAGCCTCGCCTTACAGAAACTACTAAAGGAAGTCACACCAGATAGCAATACAAACCCACATGGTGAAACAAAGAGTGCCAATACATTCAATTATAAAGACAAATTTTAAATACGGGATAATATATTTTTTCCTCCATTTCTCTCAAGCTGATGTTTTTAATTGCATAAAACAGTATTTATAAAATTTTAATACTGAAAAAACCACAGTAAGATTTATACATTGAAAGAAGCAATATGTGACATTAACAGCACAAAGGGAGGAGGGTATGACATTAAATTTGAACAAGAATATGACACCATATGGTAATTCCAATATACAGAAAAAAATGTCAGCTGAAATTGTTTATCTGTTCTTTAATTAGTCTTCTCCTCACCTGCCCTATCCGTATTGGCCAGCTGATTGTCCTGGCACAAGCCAAGCTCAATCTTGCCTAAGGGTACTTGCACTTCCTGTTAACTCTGCCTGAGGGGCAAGGAAATCTTTGGATCTTCAGAATTTCTCTTGGATGGCTCACTCATTTCATTCAAGACTCTTCTGAAAAGTCACATGCTAGGTTTCCACCTTACCATTCTATCTAAAATGGTGTTCCAAATTCTTTCTCCATTTTCTAGCTTATTAGATACATATTTTAGAAACACTCAAAGAATAAAACAGCCATACAACTCCCATAAGAAAAGACCCGTAAATCTGGTGTAGAACTTATCTCCCTAATAGCAGTTACTTACGTTTATTTATAACAAAATATATGTCTATTATTTACCTTAATATTTACATTTATATCACCTTAATATTTCATTTGTCCTGAACAATATGGATACCTTATTTTGTAGTTATTGTAAGTTTGCTTTTTCCCACCAGTACATTCCTTGCTCAATGAGTAAATGGTATAATTGAAGATGTAGCAAGCATTTGAAATGATAACTCATTTGATAAGTATGAGCCAAATTGCTTTAGTTTCTTTGAAATATCTGAGAGCTCCATTATGGAACTGAGACAGCCTACAAACCGTAGTCTATTACATAAAGCTCTCAGTCCCATTTACAGTGATGCAGCATAGCTTTGTGTTTCTGGCTACAACTCTTCCTTATGATCTTTTAGAAGTAAAGACCTTGTGTTTCCTAAATTGTAACTAATTCCTACAGAAGACAAGACAGAGTCTGGGCTTTGAAACTGTCTTCCATAGTGTGATATGTGAAATATAAAATGAAAAGTAAGACAGAGAAGAAAGAAAACAGTGAGTGAATTCTCTATCTTCAGCTGAGGTATCCAAGTTCTCACTTCGGAACTGACTACGGGCGGTTGTGATGCGACCCATGGAGAGTAAGGAAAAGCATGGTGGGGCAACGGCCCACCTATGAGTGTCACAGAACCAGGACAAACCCCAAACCCAGCCCAGGGAGGCAGTGAGTGATTGGGTGACCCTGCTGGGGGGAACCACTATCTTCCCACTGATCTTTGCAACCCATGAGACAGGAGATCTCATGAGCTCATGCCACCAGGGCTTTGGGTTAGAAGCACAGAGCCATGAGGTCTCTCAGCAGCCTCTTGGACAAGCACAGGAGACACAGGGGTTTTTGCATTCTCTGGCCCCAGGAATTCCGGTGAGACAGGAGTTCCTCTGTGCAGTGCTCTGGGAAGGGGGCGGAAACCAGGGAGCCAAGCAGAGTCATTCTGAGGGCCTCACTACCACAGGCACCTCACAAGTTAAGACCCACTGGCTTGGAACCCCAGCTGCTGGCCAGCAACAGCAAGCTGGAGACTGCCTGAGATGATTGAGTTCCTGGGGGAAGAGGTGGCCACCATTTCTGTGGCTGGAGCAGGTTGTTTTGGCCTGCTAGATCTGGGGAGTCTGGGCAGTCTGGACTTGGAGGAATTCCCCGCAGTGTGGCACAGATGCTGTGACAAATTGTAGCTAGACTGGTTCTTTAAGTGGGACCCCGATAATCCATCCCTCCTCACCTAGCAGGACCTCTCTGTGGGAATTTCAGCAATTCCAGCCAGAGTTTTATGAACAGAACTCTGATCTCTCCCTGGGATGAAGCCATCACGGGGAGGAGTGGCTACTGTATCTGCAGCTCAGCCTACAGCCTTTCTCACCTGCTGCTTCTGCAAAGACCAGGCAGTCTGGACGTGGGGGGATCCCCCCAGTGCAGCATACCACTCTGCCAAGGGGCAACCTGACAGCTTCTTTAAGTGGGACCCTGAACCCATTCCCCCTGACTGGGTGAGACCTCCTAGTAGAGGATGTCCTGATACCTCCTACAGGAATGTTCCAGCCAGCATCAGGTCAGTGCCCCCCTGAGACGGAGCTCCCAGTGGAAGGAGCAGGCTGCTGTATTTGCTGTTTTTCAGCCTTCACTGGAGATACCTCCTGGTGTGGGAGGGTCTTAACTAGGGTCTGGAGTAGTCCCCCTGGCAAACTGCAGCAGGCCTGTGGAAGAAGGGTCTGATTGAAACAAACAAACAAAAAACAGGAAACAACAACAACTACAACTACAAAAAGACCCCACAAAAACCCCATTCATAGGTCATCAACTTCAAGGATTGCAGGCTGATAAGCCCACAAAGATGAGAAAGAATCAAATCAGCACAAAAATCCTGGAAACCCAAAAAGCCAGAATGCCTCTTCTCCAAATAATTGCAACATGTCTCCAGCAAGGGCACAGAACTGGGCTGAGGCTAAGAATAATGAATTGACGGAAGTAGGCTTCAGAAGGTGGGTAACAACAAACTTCACCAAACTAAAGGAGCATATTCTAACCCAAAGCAAAGAGGCGAAGAATCATGATAAAACATTACAAGAGCTGAGAACCAGAATATCCAGTTTAGAGAGGAACATAAACGACCTGATGGAGCTGAAAAACACAACACAAGAACTTCGCAATGCAATCACAAGTATCAATAGCCAAATAGACCAAGCAGAGGAATCAATCTCAGAGCTTGAAGACTATCTTTCTGAAATAAGACAGGCAGACAAGGTTGGAGAAGAAAGAATGAAAAGGAATGAACAAAACCTCCAAGAAATTAGGGATTACGTAAAAAGACTGAACCTACGACTGATTGGAGTACCTGAAATAGACAGGGAGAATGAAATCAAGTTGGAAAGCATACTTCAGTATATCATCCAGGAGAACTTCCCCAACCTAGCAAGACAGGCCAACATTCAAATTTAGGAAATCCAGAGAACCCCGGTAACATACTCCAAGAAAAAAATCAACCCCAAGACACATAACCATCAGATTCTCCAGCGTCGAAAGAAAAACTGTTAAGGGCAGCCAGAGAGAAAGGCCAGGTCGCCTACAAAGGGAAGCCTATCAGACGAACTGGGGACCTCTGAATGGAAACCCTACAATCCAGAAAAGATTGGGGGGCCAATATTCAACATTCTTCAAGAATTTTCAACCCAGAATTTCATATACCACCAAACTAAGATTCATAAGCAAAAGAGAAATAAGATCCTTTTCAGACAAGCAAATGCTGAGGCCTGGCTTGAAAGAGCTCCTAAAGGAAGCACTAAATATGGAAAGGAAAGAGCATCACCAGCCACTAAAAAAACACACCAAAGTACACAGACCAGCGACACTATGAAGCAACTACATAAACAAGTTGGCAAAATGACTAGCTAATATCATGATGACAGAATCAAATTCACATATAACAATACTAACCTTAAATGTAAATGAAATTAATGCCCCTTGGGAGGCCGAGGTGGGCAGATCACGAGGTCAGTAGATTGAGACCATCCTGGCCAACATGGTGAAACCCCATCTCTACTAAAAATACAAAAGTTAACGGGGTGTGGTGGCACACGCCTGTAATCTCAGCTAGTCGGGAGGCTGAGGCAGCAGAATCACTTGAACCTGGGAGGGAGACGTTGCAGTGAGCCAAGATCATACCACTGCACTCCAGCCTGGGCAACAGAGCAAGACTCCATCTCAGGAAAAAAAAAAAAAAAGAAAGAAAGAAATGCCCCAGTTAAAAGACACAGAATGGCAACCAGATAAAGAGTCAAAACCCATTGGTATATTGTCTTCTGGTGACAGGGCAAGCCTCCATCTCAAAAAAAAAAGAAAAAAAAAAAAAAAGAAATGCCCCAATTAAAAGACACAGAATGGCACTCAGATAAGGAGTCAAAATCCATCAGTATGTTGTCTTCAAGAGAAACATCTCACATGCAAAAACACACATAGGCTCAAAATAAACGGATGGAAGAAAGTTTACCAAGCAAATGGACAACAAAAAAAGCAGGGGTTGCAATCCTAGTTTCTGACAAAATGGACTTTAAACCAACAAAGATCAAAAAAGACAAAGAAGGGCATTACAAAATGATATAGAGTTCAACAGACCAAGAAGAGCTAACCATCCTAAATTTATATGCATATATGCACACCCAGGCACACCCAGATTCATAAAGCAAGTCCTTAGAGACCTACAAAGAGACTTAGACTCCCACACAATAATAGTGAGAGATTTTAACACCCCAATGACAATATTAGACAGATCATTGAGTCAGAAAATTAAAGAAATACAGGACTTTAACTCAGCTCTGGATCAAGCTGACTTACAGATATCTACAGAACTCTCCACCACAAAACAACAGAATATACATTCTTCTCATCACCACATGGCACTTACTCTAAAATTGATCACGTAGTAGGAAGTAAAACGCTCCTTAGCAAATGCAAAAAAACTGAAATCATAAAAAATCATCTCTCAGATCACAGCACAATCAAATTAGAACTCAAGAATAAGAAACTGGCCAGGCGTGGTGGCTCACTCCTGTAATCCCACCACTTTGGGAGGTCGAGGTGGGCAGATCACGAGGTCAGGAGATGGAGACCATCCTGGCTAACATGGTGAAACCCAACTCTACTAAAAATACAAAAAATTAGCCAGGCTTGGTGGCGGGCACCTGTGGTCCCAGCTACTCATAAGGCTGAGGCAGGAGAATGGCGTGAATCTGGGAGGTGGAGCTTGCAGTGAGACGAGATTGCGCCACTGCACTCAAGCCTGGTCGACAGTGCAAGACTCTGTCTCAAAATAAAATAATAAGAAGCTCACTCAAAACCACACAACTACATGGAAATTGAACAACCTCGTCCTGAATGACTTCTGCGTAAATAATGAAACTAAGACAGGAATCAAGAATGTCTTTGAAACTAATGAGAACAAAGAGACAATGCAAGAACCTCGAGGATGTACCTAAAGCAGTGTCAAAATGGAAATTTATAGCACTAGATGCTCACATAAAAAAAAAAAAACAAGAAAGATCTCAAATGAAATGACCTAACATCACAACTAAAAGAACTAGAGAACCAAGAGCAAACAAATCCCAAAGCTAGCAGAAGATAAGAAATAATCAAGATCAGAGTGGAACTGAAGGAGATAGAGATACAAAAAAATATTCAAAAAATCAACAAATGCAGGAGCTGGCTTTTTGAAAAAATTAATAAAATAAACCACCAGCTAGACTAATAAAGAAGAAAAGAGATAATATTTAAATAAACACAATCAGAAATGGTAAGGGGGGAATATCACCAATGACCCCACAGAAATACAAACAACCATCAGAGAATACTATATACATCTCTATGGACATGAACTAGAAAATCTAGAAGAAACACATAAATTTCTGGATGCCTACACCCTCCCAAGGCTGAACCAGGAAGAAAGTGAATCACTAAATAACCATAACGAGTTCCGAAATTGAGGCAGTAATAAATCGCCTACCAACCAAAAAAAATGCCCAGGACCATAAGGATTTTCAGCTGAATTCTACCAGGGGTACAAAAATTAGCTAGTACCATTTTTACTGAAACTATTCCAAATAATGAAAAAGGAGGGATTCCTCCCTAACTGATTATATGAGGCCAGTATCATTTTGATACCATAACCCTGTAGAGATACAACAAAAAAAAGAAAACTTCAGGCAAATATCCCTGACGAACATCCATGCAAAAATCTTCAACAAAATACTGGCAAACCAAATCCTGCAGCACATCAAAAAGCTTATCCACCATGATCAAGTTGGCATCATCCCTGGGAAGCAAGGTTGGTTCAACATATGCAAAACAATAAATGTAATTCATCACATAAACAGAACCAAAGGAAAAAAAAAAACATGACTATCTTAATAGATGCAGAAAAGGCCTTCAATAAAACTCAACATCCCTTCATGTTAAAAACTCTCAATAAACTGGATGTTGAAGGAACATACCTCAAAATAATAAGAGCCATATATGATAAACTCACAGCCAATATCATACTGAATGGGTGAGAGCTGCAAGCACTCCACTTGAAAACCAGCACAAGACAAAGATGACTTCTCTTACCACTCCTATTCAACATACTATTGCAAGTTCTGGCCAGGGCAATCAGGCAAGAGAAAGAAATAAAGGGTATTTCAAATACGAACAGAGGAAGTCAAATTATCTTTTTTGCAGATGACATAATCCTATATATAGAAAACCCCATCATCTCAGCCCCAAAGCTTAAGATGATAAGCAACTTCAGCAAAGTCTCAGGGTACAAAATCAATGTGCAAAAATCGCTAGCATTCTTATACACGAACAATAGGCAAAAAGAAAGTCGAATCATGAATGAACTCTCATTCACAATTGCTACAAAGAGAATAAAACATGCAGGAATACAGCAAACAAGGGAAGTGAAGTACCTTTTCAAGGAGAACTGCAAACCACTGCTCAAGGAAATCAGAGAGGACACGAACAAGTGAAAAACCATTTCATGCTCATGGATAGGAAGAATCAATATTGCAAAAATGGCCATACTGCCCAAAGTAATTTATAGATTCAATTCCTATTAGACTACCATTGACATTCTTCACAGAACTAGAAAAAGCTATTTTAAAATTCATATGGAACCAAAAAAGAGCCCATATAGCCAAAACAATCCTAAGCAAAAAGAACAAAGCTGGAGGCATCATGCTACCTGACTTCAAACTATCCTACAAATCTACAGTGATCAAAACAGCATGGTACTGGTACAAGAACAGACACATAGACCAATGCAACAGAATAGAGAACTCAGAAATAAGATCACCCATCTACAACCATCTGATCTTTGACAAACCAGACAAAATAAGCAATAGTGAAAGGATTCTCTATTTAATAAATGGTGCTGGGAGAAATGGCTAGCCATATGCAGAAAATTAAAACTGGACCCCTTCTTTACACCATATACAAAAACTAACTCAAGATGGATTAAAGACTTAAATGTAAAACCCAAAACTATAAAAACCTTAGAAGATAATCTAAGCAATACCATCCAGGATATAGGCATAGGCATGGGCAAGGATTTCATGATGATAATGCCAAATGCAATTGCTACAAAAGCAAAATGTGGCAAATCAGATCTAATTAAACTAAAGAGCTTCTGTACAGCAAAATAAACTATCATCAGAGTGAACAACCTACAGAATGGGAGAAAATTTGTGCAATCTATCCATCTGGCAAAGGTCTAATATCCAGAGTATACAAGAAATTAATAAATTTGCAAGATAAAAACAACCCCCATTAAAAAGTGGGCAAAGGACATGAACAGACACTTCACAAAAGATGACATTCATGCAACCTGCAAACATATGAAAGAAAGCTCAACATCACTGATCATTAAAGAAATGCAATTCAAAACCACAATGAGAGATCATCTCATGCCAGTCAGAACAGCAATTATTAAAAAGTCAAGAAACAATAGATGGAGGTGAGGTTGCTGAGAAAAATGAATGCTTCTACTCTGTTACTGGGAATGTAAATTAGTTCAACCATTGTGGAAGACAGTATGGAGATTCCTCAAAGATCCAGAGGCAGAAAAACCATTTGATCCAGGAATCCCATTACTGGGTATATACTCCAAGGAATATAAATTATTCTATTATAAAGATACATACCCGTGTATATTCATTGCAGAACTATTCACAATAGCAAAGACAGGGAATCAACCCAAATGTCCATCAACAATATACTGGATAAAGAAACTGTGGTACATACACACCATGGAGTACTATGCAAGCATAAAAAGGGAATGAGATCATGTCCTTTGTAGGGACATGAATGGAGCTGGAAGCTGTTATCCTCAGCAAACTAACACAGGAACAGAAAACCAGACACTGCATGTTCTCACTGGTAAGTGAGAGCTGAGTGATGAGAACACATGGACACATTGGCAGGAAACAACACACACTGGGGCCTGTCAGGAGGTTGGGGGAAGGGAGAACATCAAGAACAGCTAATGGGTGCTGAATTTAATACTTGGGTGATGGGTTAATCTGTGCAGCAAACCACCGTGGTGGACGTTTACCTGTGTTAGCAACCTGCACAGCCTGCATATGTACCCTGGGACTTAAAATAAAAGTTGATTTAAAAAATTAAATAAAAACATATGATCACTTGTAAATGAGTTAATATTCTATTTTTTCAATCAAATATACCAGGCTATAAGATAAATACTTCAATAAATTATTAGTAAATACCTTTTTAAAAAAGAGAAATAAGTACCAATTCCAGCCCAACTTGAGCTGACATCTTAATGTCTTTAAATGATTCAGTCATGCCAAAGGGATTTATTAGTATTGCCTCTGTGTACACCTGTGGTCAAATAATGGAAAAAGTTATCACGTGTATACAATACCAATTTTAAAAAATGTGAATACATTAAAATACACTTAAACTTAAAACCACACTTAATGAAATTTAACTTTCTTTGGCTATTCAAAAGGCACTTGAGAAATTCATGAGGCTTTGAGTTTATTATAAACATCAGTTATCATTGCACTAAGTATGAAGGAGCCAGCTAATAGGGCATTATAGTTATGTGGAAGCCCGAAAGACTAATTCTCACTAGATCCTTAATTTTTGTGTAATTTTGGAAAGAAGGACATCTAAAAGTCAATCAGTACAAAGCATGGAGAGATAGAGGAGGTTATGTGTGTAAAATGGCAGTTACTAACTTGGTTTAAACACAGTAGAAAGATAAAGCAAACAACAACAATAAAGAGAAAACATTTAAGTTTGCCTCTCTATACTGCACAATTTCCCTTTCCAGGGGATATTTGGTAATGTTTGGAGACATTTTTGTTGTCATGACTCTGAGGTGCTACAGGACAGCCTCTCAGAACAAAGATTTACATGGCCCCAAATGTCCATAGGATGAGAAAGCTGTATTAGAACATCTCAAATGTTCCAGAGTGATTTTAATATATTTTATATTTTATCTGTCTGCAATTATTTGCAAAAGAGTATATAGTAAATATGGAAAATCCTAGATCTTTGTTGGAAAGACAATCAGATAGGACTGGCAGACATTCACACTCTAAATCCAAGTTTAACTTTCTAAAGGTTACATTTATTTTAACTTCCTCCAAGTCAAGATGGGATTTGTGCCTAGAGAGATTACAAATTCTGGCCATCTTTTGACATGTTTTCCTATCTGTTACAGAATATATCACAAATGCTGGTCAGGAATATATTCCCTGTCAATTTTCCCTCTTCCCCTACTTCAGCTCATTTTCTCCAGCTTGGTAGAAATAAAGTTGACACAGACAGATTGTGTATGTGGAAGAGAAAAAGAGCTGGAAAGAAACTGAAGAGCTAATCCACTATGATGCCAGTCTACACCAAAGACAGTGTGCCAGAACTCTAAGGAGCCATCCATTAGAAATGCTGACAGCGTTGGCTCCTACGACAGTCTTCGATATAGTGAATTGCAATAGTTATGCTTTCAGATTTTGAAGGCAATTGCAAACTTTATCCCAAAGATTTTATCTTCCAGTTAAAATATTCTTTTTTAGTTCTAAATCAGTGTTTCTCAAATGCTTAGAAATTGTCAATCTATCTTTCATTCTCTAATAATATTTCCTTTCCTAAAGATATTATAAGAATTTTAAAAAATATTTAAATAAAGTATTTGTTTCTTCCTGGGGATTTTATAACACCAACTGAAATAAATGAAAATATCTTAGGTGATAAAAGACCCAGGCACAGAACTAGCTTGGAATACTCTTCTGTATCCTGTGTGGACACCTTGGCTATCTATTCTACTTACAGAACATTAAAATCATCAATATGCTGACCCATCTCAAAAGCATATTTTCAGTCCAGACCTGATTCCTGACCCCTAGACTTGTATATCTGTTTACTTACAACCTCAATTGGAGGGCAACAGATATTCCAAACTCAACCTGTTCAAAACTGAGGCTGGGCACGGTGGCTTACACTTATAATCCTAGGACTTTGGGAGGCCAAGACAGGCAGATCACTTGAGCTCAAGAGTTCAAGACCAGCCTGGGCAACATAGCAAAACCCCATCTCTACGAAAAATACGAAAATTAGGCAGGCGTGGTGGCTCGCGCCTGTAGTCTCAGTTACTTGGGGGGCTGAGGTGGAAGGATTGCCTGAGCCCAGGAGGTGGAGGTTGCACTGAGCCAAGGTCGAGTCACTGCACTCCAGCCTGGGGGACAGAGTGAGAACATCTAAAAACAAACAAACAAAAACTGAACCTCCGATCTTTCCTCCAAATCTCTTCTACTCATAGCTTTCCTTATCTCACTAGATTACAAGTACATCTTTTAGTTCCTCAGGCTGAGAATTTAGAGATATACTTCATGTCTTTCTCACTCACCTCCCAAATCTAATCTATCAGGAGATCTTGCTGGTATCAGCCTCAAAATATATCCAGAATTTAACCTCTACAATTGTTATGGGCTGAATTGTGTTACCCCAAAAAGATATGAAGTCCTGACCCCAGGTACCTCAGAATGTAGCCTTGGTTGGAAACAGGATCTTAACAGAAGTAATCAAGTTAAAATAGGTCATTAGGGTGGGCCCTAAATCAATATGACTGGGGTCCTTATAAAAAGGGGAAATTTGTAGACAGACAGACACACATAGAGGGAAGGTGGCCACATGAAGATGGAGGATGGAGGAGATGCATCTACAAGCCAAGGAACACCGAAAATTGCTAGCAAACCACCAGGATCTGGAAAGGCAAGGAAGGTTCTTTCCTCTATAGGTTTCAGAAGGAACATTGCCTTGCCAAGATTTTGATTTCAGACATTAAGCCTTCAGAACTATGAGACAATACATTTCTATGGTTCTGAGGGGTTTCCCAACACATGGAATTCAGTGTTAAACCACGGCAATTCTAGGCAAATTCGAACAGTTGGTCACACTATTGCTGTTCATTGAATAGGCCAGATGCCCTTCCGCCATAGGCCCTTTGATCTAGAAGTTTACTATTCTTAAACTAAGAGTTTAAAGCAGCTACCCAGATAACCACTTTACTAACTCCCTAACCTTCTTAAAGCCTTTGAGGAAAGCTCACCTTCTTCATGAGCCTTATGCTATACATTCTATCTAAATTGTGCTCTGCCCTCTGTGCTTCCAATCCTCTTATCCTACTCGGTTTTCTTTATCTTACAAATTACCTTCTAATAGATTATATAGTTAACTTATTTATTATGTCTATTATCTGTTGTTGTCATATCCTTATGAGACTATAAGCCACGAGAGGGCAAGATCTTATTATTCTATGTTCTCTGATGTATCTCAAATATTTGTTCAAATAATGAATAATTCATAGGAAAAAACTTGCTAACTATAAATTGCTATTTTGAATGGACACTTTTTCAAATGAACTCGGTGGTATTTCTGATTTATTCTAAATGCTTTAGACACTATTTTAAACCATCATGGTAATGAATATATTTATTTGCCTATAGCTGCAGAGCTAACAAATTCATACATTCAACTGTTAATTTATAGTAATATGCTGTTTTGAAGCAGAAATTATTTTCTACTTGCACTGCCTCCATTTATTTTTGGATTAAATAAATTCATCAGCTTAACGGCATTTCCTGTTCTCCTATGAGGTAGATAGAGCCCTTTCTTCCATTTTCTTATATATTCTTAATATCTGAATTTATTGTTTTCCATACACATTCTCACACATTAGACACACACTCACATTTGCCTAGCATCCTCATTCAGCTGTTTAAGACCTTGACATGCATTATCCATTCACTGGATACCCATACTTTGGGCTAGGTGCTAGGTTAGATTTGCGGATTAAAGAATAAATATGACAAGCCTCTGGTCCCATGGAGTAGGTAAGCTTACAAATAAATAGAAGACTTAAACACATTAAGTCCTTTAAGAATTATTTGAATTTTAAAAGAGATAAGCCTAAGAAAACAGTACCTAACCACAAAAGAAAGTGTTTCTATTAGAGATTTTTAGATGAGATTGTTACTTTAGGGCTTCATAAAATTGAGAGTAAGCCGATAATACCCACGATACAGTAAGGTTAGAAACCCATGCTCTGGATCAAAGACTGCTTTCGTTTAAAACCTAGTTTTTCTGTTTATTAGCTCTGTGAATTTAGGTATTTAAGCTTCTGCTTTCCCATCTGTGAAATGAAGCTAATAACTGTATTACTCTTTCTGCTGCATAGTACAGGGTACAGTGCCAAACACATAGTAGTTGCTCAATAAATGCTATCTCTCTCTCTCTCTATATATATATACTCAAATTGTGCCAAATTTACATTAATATTTTAGTCTTATTAAAATTTTCTGAATGCCTTTACCTGAATTGTGACAATGTGTGTGTACATGTGTATGTTCATATATTTCTGGAACAGATAATAACTCAAAGAACACCTGGGTTTAGAACAAGTTCACATCCTGTTTGTGGCTCACATGTAAGAAAGGCTGGTTTAGTCGGGAGGTGGCATTTGTAAATGTAGTGGTATGTCCTAAGGAGCTAAATCAAAGTCCTTGTAATATGGAAAAGGGTGTGAAATAGTTGACATTTATGCCACAAGTTGTTTCTCTAGCTAAGTGCCTTGCAGAGATAAAACTACTATAAATCTCTGTTTTGAGCATACAAGTTTCCCTTAAATCTCCAGTGAGCATCTCCTGAGTATGTGGTAGATGGTGTTTTATGTATAAAACTATAAACTGTATAGATCTTTTCTATGTGCTATCTTTTAAAGTATCTTTGTATATTTCTACACCTCATAGTTCACATAAATTTCCAAGTATGTGAATTCATTCATAACTCTCAATTCATTTGTCCACTGTGGAAAAGTTTTCTTTCTTATTTTAAAGATTAGAAATATCTAGTTATTTATATTACTATCATTAGAGACAAAATTTGGGGGAATTTAAAAAGCAGTTTTTAACCTGGGTATAGAACTTAAAAAATTAGATAATACTCAACTTGTTTTCAAAATATTTCAAGCATAGTATGGTAAAATGCCTTCAAGTGATTATTGAAAGAGTACAGTAATTTCTCTAGGCTAAGTTTAGATACTTTTGATATTATATGATTTATAATATCTTTCTTTAAAAAGAAAAAAATGATTTGTAGTTTCCTTATTTCTTATAATTTATATTTTCAGTTTACTGTTTTGTTATTCCAGCAATATTAGTTACTGAAGAAAAGCACATGTCACCTCTTAAGCATGTGATTGTGTATATGCTAAGAAAAAGGGGCATTTAGTCAAAGTTTTTATGCATGTTTTTATTGAGTAAATGTCTAACTTACATAATGGTATTTTTTTTTTATAAGTAGTAACCATTACAGCATCCTAAGTAGTCCAGAAACTTTGGGAACATTGTTCACAGTATAAAATGATAACTGAAATGTTTTAAGCTAAATCACTTCTATATAATTGCAATAAGACTTAAACTGCACCAGGTGCTGTCTCTAATATACCCATCCCCTTGAGAGTTTGGTGTTGAATACTTCCTTGGTAATGGAAAGGCACGCCAACTATGCCCACTACTTGTATCGACACATACTCTTTATCTTTTTATAAAAAAAAAAAAAAAAAAAATACTATATTGTTTCCCCTATCTAAATGATGGTCACAGAATCTGTTTTTTTTTTTTTTAAGCAAGTGGAGTAAATAATAAATTTTAGGAAAATCATTACCCACTTCACTCATTCATTCAATTCTTATTGATCACTAAGTACCATGAAGTATTTTTGGTAATGGGAACTCTGTGATAAGCAAGTAAAGAGGGGGAACAAGAATGATGACCTTGGAGAGCTCAAGCAGTGAGGGAGGCAGGTAACATATGAGTATCAAGTAGGTTGTTAAGTGATGAAAAAAAAGAGAGAAAGAAAACAAAAAATATTGTGATAAGAGTATGAGAGTATAATGTTGGGAGACCCATTAGATAAGTGGGCTCTCCTGGGATATCCCCCTGATATGGTGACCACTGAGCTCAATCTGGAACAAATGAGAAAGCAGCAGCCATGGTAAAATGTGGAGAAAGTACTTTCCAGCAGAGTTCCACGAATCAGAAGAGGACAACAACCTGTGTTTACTAAACAAATATGAAAAAATAGGCCACAGTGACTGAGACACAGTTTGGAAGGGAGATGAATGAGGAGATACTGGAGAGTAGGTTAGGGAAGATAATGCAGAGCCAGGTAGATCAGGGTATGCTCTTTGGTTTCGGCAGGAACAGCTCCTGCCGTCCCACTGATGTAAACTTTCTTGTCAGGGAACTTGTGCAGTGGATCTAGAGCGAACAGGGGAGCAGCAATGTCAGTTGAGCTCATTGATTTAGGCAATTTTTTAATCATATAACATAAATATTGTCTTCAATTGGGATTTTAAGAATAAATACATTCTTCCATAAGAAAATCTTTTGGTGGTAACTGCTGGGCCCGGTGGCTCACGCCTGTAATCCCAGCACTTTGGGAGGCCGAGGGGGGTGGAAAACAAGGTCAAGAGATTGAGAACATCCTAGCTAACACGGTGAAACCCCGTCTCTACTAAAAATACAAAAAATTAGCCGGGCATGGTGGCGGGCGCCTGTAGTCCCAGCTACTCAGGAGGCTAAGGCAGGAAAATCGCTTGAACCCAGGAGGTGGAGGTTGCAGTGAGCCGAGATTGTGCCACTGTACTCCAGCCTGGGCGACTCCATCTCAAAAAAAAAAAAAAAAAAGGAATGTAGTGAGTTAGGCATGGCAAAATCACATAGAGTGGACGTGGATTGTGTGTTCTCTTCCCATTTAGACTACTTATGTATTCTGATTAGGGTCTTCAAGTGGAGTGTCCTACAGCATGTATCACCATGGTTCTTTCTTCTATCCTATTGGACTCATACAATGGCAAGTGGCAGTAAGAGAGCAGAGAAGGGGCAGGAAGAATTTGGGGCTATTTTTCCCTTTCTTTTCTCTTCTTTAGTGCTATAGATCTGTCACTGGCTTCATCCTTTTAGAACCACAGCTCCTATCTGGAAGACTGCCTTCTCAGTGTCCAGCTTTCATCCAGTTCCTGTGACACCATATCCCCTGCCCTTGTCCTTCTGGCCTGGGGTAATAACAGCTACTTTTTGTTGTTTGTAGTGGTGCTATTCAAAAGCATCAAATATTAAGCATCTGTATGTCTCAATATACCATTTGCTTCTCAGCTTTGTTATATTTCTCACTATCTGAAATTTTGTTCATTCTTTTTACATCCTGAGTAATTATCTACATCTCCCCCCAAAAAATAGATTTCCATTAGAATCTGGATCTTGTCTCTTCTTGTTATATTGCCAACTGGAACAGTACCTGGAACATAGTAGGAGCTCAGAAATTATCATAGAATGATAAAAGATGACTAAACAAGAAATTTAAAAAATGGCACAAATCACCTTAAAACATGTTTATCAAAAATTATCTCTGTTTAATAGGAGATAGATACATATATATTTTCAACTACATTAATGGGCGGTAGATGTATAAGTTATCTTCATGCCATGGTAAAGATACTTAAAGAAATTAAGAAGCTTTGCCCAATTTTCACATAGTAGAAGGGAGTGTGGCTTAAATTCAAGTCTACTTGGTCTAACTAGTATTCTTTTGATGACAGAGGTATGTCTGGGCTGGATGGGTCAATACTCTATAAATGTTATCAAGTCACTATACTTGGCAGGTGTCCCAATTTACACTCCAATTTACAGAATTTTGGATATATTATTTAGATTCTAATGGATTAGTTGTTGATAGAGTCTTGATTATAATGTCTATATAATAAATGTCCTACAAAAGTTTCTTTGATTATTACTCACAAAAATCACACAATTAAAGCATAGTGAATATTGAGGTTGCAACAATTTGATGCTTTTGAATAGCACCACCACAAAAATGCTCTCATAATAAAATAGAATTTATGTAAAGTAACTCACAGACCATTTGGCTATATTTGACTCCTTAATTTATTCCAAAGGCATCTATTGCCTCAGGGAGAGAGGATATTTGTATAGAGGAAAAGTAATAACCTCGAGAAGAACAAACAACAGGAGAAATCTCATTTATGGCTGAAGATAACGAACAGATGCTATAACCCCAACCATCTAAGACAGAGAGATTTAAGGTAGGAAAAGAAATGTAATTGATCAAGGGTAAATAACACTGCATATCCAAGAGACAGCAATGAGATGCACATATTTGAAAAGAATATAAGAAAGCTTATGGATGCAAAGGTCTCTAATACAGGAGATGTTGCTATTTGAAGGGTGTGGTGAGACCTATTACTCGACATTATTAAAGAGAGCATGAGTCACTTATTCTTGAAAGGTTTTAATAGAAAAGGAAAAAAACAATAGTTTAAAGTATAAAAGGGACATTTTCTAAAATGTAATAAATATGTGATAAGATATGTATATTTAAAAAGCAATTCAGTCCCTCAGACCAAGATTTGTATCTTCAAAGGGTGCCAGAAAAGTGACACATGGAAAAACGAAGATCATACCTGTGACGTGTATACAATGGCACACAGTAGAGGTTTACTTAGATACTTGGGTTTAAGGAGTGTAATGGCATGGATAAAAGGAAGGATATAATAAAATGCATAAAGGAAATGGCATAATGAGATGCTTAATTGGACAAATGTAACGATATGCAAAGGAGAAGAAAGATGTAATATGATACACATTTTTGAGGAGTGTAATGAGATGCATAAATAGAAAGGTGTAATGAGATGTGCATGTTTAAGTAACGTAATGAGAAATATAGGTTATAATAACATACATGAAAGTAGTTTAGTAATGAGATATACAAGGGAAAGGCTTTAATGAAATCCACAAATGGAGAATATGTAAAGATGCTTAAAGGAAATGTAATGAGATGTACATATTTGAAAGTTTTAATGAGATGCTTTAATAGAAGTGTGTAATGAAATGTATATGTTTGAAAGGTGTAATGAGACACATTATCAAGGAAGAATATAAAACAATTCTCTCCTTCTATGGAGAATAATGCTTCCTGAACATCGTGAAGAGTCATCATCCTAAGGGATTTCTACATTTCCACTTTAGTATAAAGTAAGACACCATCGGTGCTTCAACTATTACCACATCAAGTGGCATCTCCTTCAGGTCCTGGTTTATTTTTAGCAATATGGTTTAAAACATAACCCCATGCTGATGGCCACTTTCTAGGACAATTTAGGAATGGTGCTGATTATTAGACATTAACACAAGGGGAAAAAAAAGAAGAAGGAAAAGAAGAAACTGACAGCTATTGAGTATTTGGTGCTGGAGCTGTGCTAGAAATCTTTACATAACTGAATATTCCAATAACCACATAAGGCAGACATTATCTCCTTTTGACAACTTAGAAAAGTGAGCTCAGAGGTTAAGCTGGTTGCTCAAAATCACATGACCTGGGTAAGTGTTGGAGCCAGAATTTGAAAATAAGTCTGCCTGGTTCTATTTCTATTTGTGTTTTTATTATTTTTTTTCTCTTATTCTTTTTTTTTCTTTTTTCTGTTTGGTAATATTTTGCTGGGTAATTACTGCTAATTATGGTTGAAATCTCTAACGAGGCCTTATTAACACCTCCAGTCATAAATGTCACATGTTTACATAGCTAATAGTTTTGCCGAGAGAGTAAGGGATAACAGAGTAACCACCCTGTTACTAGAGACATTTGAAAAATTATTAACCCCATATATGTTTTCCGAACAATTTTGTACCCTGTTGGGCTCCATACAATAACCAGTGGATGACGTATTAAATAGGAACCTTGAAGATATTACCAGGTTTTAAAAAATTAGGCCAATAATTTTTAAAAGTTATTTTGAAATGTATTTTGGCTACACTGTGATTTTGCTGGTGAATGAATATGAAGCAAAGCAGATAAAACTATCTTCACTACCCCTTTTAAAATCTACATGAATTTGGCTAAGTTTTGTAACCTCTCATGAGATTTAGCTTCCTTATCTATGAAACAGGAATAAATAACGTGTCTTATCAAATTTTATTATAGCAAAATAAAATATGCAAAATATCTAGAACATTCCATATTAGCAATGAATAAATATTAATTTCTTCCTTCCCAACTTTTTAAATCAAGTTTGAATGAGTAATTATGTAAAAATTCTCCTCTCCCTTAAAATTTCTTTACATTTAGTTGGTGGTAGTTTATGTCAATAGACTTACTCGGGAAAAAAAAAACTAGAAAATGTTATAAGGCATGTTTTCTATAACGGTTGTAGGCAATAATTTATTTTTGGATTAATTGCTTACAGAATGACAAAGACATTAATTGGAAGAGAGAATAATTTTTTATAAAATATGAGTACAACAATTATTTCCACTTTTATTGACAGAATTCAAATTAAACTAAGGACAACGTAAATTTGTGACCCTTCACCCTCGCACTAATAACTTTTCACAACCTTAATCAATCAGTGTAATATAGTAATTATCATTTCAACCACACTCCCATTGGAGTCCATGATTATTTTAGGATAGCTACTTATTGTTCAATTATGTGTCTATGAAAACAGGTCAAACGTTGGTCACTTTTACTCATTAAAATTTTGAAGTTTTATTCTGAATATTTTCTACGCAATGGAGGATCTCATTAGCAATTAATTGTGAAAAAGTCATTCACCATACAATGAAAAGCTCACTAGCTCAGATCTAAGTACTGAATCTAAGTGTATATTTTAGATCAACACACATGTCCTATTTAAGTACACCAAAACAATAACAGTTGTTTTACCTGGGCCAGCACACAGATGAACAAAGACTTATTTCAAAACTTTCATGGAGGCCTCTTTTTATGAATTTGTAAAACCAACAAAACTAATCCCTATTCACCTTCCAAAAGGGTGGCCAAGTAACTCAGAAAGTAGATAATGGATTTTATTTTTCATTCACCAGCATATGATTATTTGAAGGTTACTTCCATTTCTCAGGAGACAGAGGAGTTCAGTGATTAAGTGTGTAGGCTCTGAAGTTAAGCTGCTTTGGTTCATATCTTATCCATGCTATTTGCTAGATGTACAACCCTGGGCACATTTCTTAGTCACTCTAAGCCTCATTTTCCTGTTGGCTACTTCAAATGTTTGCTATGAGGATTAAGTAAGACAACACATGAACAGCCTCGGGCACATAATAAACTCAGAGCTCTGGTTAGAGTATGTCCATTTCATAGGGGCAGTGTAATAAGAAATAGTTTTGGATCTTCTACAACTCTATTACTGCCATAAGTTAGGACTCGCTTGAGAGTAGGTTATATTTTGATTAATTTGATTCAGAGACCTGAGCTATATATTCTGTACCGTTTGTGAAATAAGACTAAGCGTTTACCACAAAATTAATTTATTCCATTGGAAGAAAAATACCTGAACTTTGGCTCCTAAAAGTAAAATATGTTGGTGACCACTAGGAGACCTAGAAAGCTGAGAGAAAGAAAGAAAAAAAGAAAGAGAGAAAGAAATTGAGAAAGCCAGGCAAACTAAAAGATTACAACTTTTCTTAAACCTAACAGAGAGTTGATATCTACCCACTACCCCAAAACATAAACAGAGATAAGCATCTGCAGAGAGATATGGGACATGAGTACCTGTTTCACTGGAATAGAAACAGCAGAATTCCGGTCATAAGAACTGAGTTAGAAATAATTAAGAAGTTGAAGGGGGCAACATATGGGCTAGCAAAAGCATGTGAAGCTCCAAGGGGGCCTATTATGGACTGATTTGTGTTTCCCTTCTGATTCATTTGTAGAACCCCTACCCTCTAATGTGATGATATTTGGAAATGGGACCTTTGGGAGGTAGTCAGGGTTTGATGATGTCAGGAGAGCAGGGCTCTGGTTCAATGGAATTGATGTCCATACGACAGAGAGAAAGACACCTGAGCACTCGCTCTCTGCACATGGCACAGTAGACAGGCCATGGGAGGACACAGTGAGAAGGTGGCTGTTGACAGGCCAGGAAAAGAGGCCTTGCCAGAATCCAATCCTGCTGACACCTTGATTTTAGATTACTAGCTCTGGAACTGTGAAAAATACATTTCCCTGCTTTGTAAGCCATCTGGTTTTTGGTATTTTATGGTAGTCTAAGTGGATAAATAGAAGGCTAAAGATGAAGGGGGAGTTTGAACTCTCTTGTAACTCTTTCTCCCCAAGGTCTTTCAATGAATACTCACAAAAATAATGAGAGAGAGGGTTGAGAAAGGATCCCTTCAAGGAACAGGACTGGGAGAGGGGAAGAACAGCCATTGGAGTAGGGTTCTCAGCTGGATCCTTCTGCCTTATCTGCAATATGGAACAAAAACCTTAATCTGTGGGAGAAAAGGTAAAAACATTATCATCTTAGGACACCTATAACAACATACTGCAATGTGAGAAAGAAAGGCAAAATTTTTCTACTCCTGAGGGAGAGGCAGGGGCAGAAATACGTGTTGAGCTTAGACACATCATTGAGAGAAAGGCAGGGATGCTGAAAAGGCCACATCCCTGAGTCCCAGGGGCACAGTGTTTGCCTAAAACTGAGACTAAATCAGAACAAAAGAGAACTTACTCTGCTATCCCCCCACAACCAGTCTACAAACACTGAATCACAGGTTACAGTGTAATACTTCTTGGAGAGATGCAAGAACATGGAGACAGACTCTCCACGTTGCAAGTGCAAATGTAAGACTTAAAACTGAGGTTACAACAGACATTGAGAAACACCCTCTGGCAAAGCTTCCACCCTACCATAAAGTATCATTAGAGTTTCTTGAAACCTGTGGTACAATGATGGTAACCATAGCAACAACAAACCTCAAACTCAACCCAATTTCAGCTCACAATGAATACATTCCTCACACTAAAGGCCCAACAGAAGGAAAGACATACCCATTATCAGAGATAAAAACTATTTATGTACTATCATTATCTACTGTCTTGTACAAGTTGTCTGGCATTCACTAAGAACAACAACAAAACTACAAGGCATAAGAATAGAAAAAGAAAAAAAAATGCACACACTGGAAAGAGACAAAGTAATCAACAGACCTGACAGAAGTATGGCACAAATATTGAAACTATCTCATAAAACATGTAAAATAACAAAAATTAAGTTAAAGGTTCTAATGGAAAAAAAGTGGACGACATGCAAAATTAAATGAGTAATTTCGGCCAATTTTAGTAGATTCAGAAATCATCAGGATGAGTTAAATAGAAATGCTCACAATGAAAAACACGATCACAGGATAAAGAATGCCTTAGGCCTCATCAGTAGATTCAAAACAGCCAAGTGCAAAAATCAGTGAACTTGAAGACAGGTAAACAAAAAATACTTAAACTGGAACACAAAGAGAAAAAGACAAAAGAGGAGGAGGAGTAGAAGGAGGAAGGAATAGAGCACCCAGAAGCTGTGAGACAATAACAAATAGTTTAAAATATGCTTTCTAGGAGTTGCATTAGGTAAAAAGAGAATAAGGCAGAAATATGTGAAGAACAATGGTTGACAATTTTCTAAAATGTGACAAATATTGAGCCACAGAATCAAAAACTCAGAGAACACAAAGAGGTATGACTTTTTAAAAGTATTATATTCATAATGCTGAACACAAATCTTATAGACAGATGGAGGAAAAGACATACAGAGAAAAAGAGTAATTACAGCTGACTTCTTATCAGAACCTAGGTAAGCCCGAAGACAATGGAATGACATTATTAAAGCACTGAAAGAAAGAAACTAAACTATCAAACCGGAATTATACACCGAGAAAAAATATATTCCAAAATTAAGGAGAAAATGAACCATTTTTTAAAATTTAATTTAGTTTTTTATTATACTTTAAGTTCTAGGGTACATGTCCACAATGTGCAGGTTTGTTACATATTATACATGTGCCATGTAATACCATTTGACCCAGCCATCCCATTACTGGGTATATACCCAAAGGATTATAAATCATGCTGCTATAAAATGAACCAATTTTTTGAAAGACAAATCTATCAAAATTTACACAAGGATAAATTAACAATCTGAATACTCCTATGTCTGCTGTAGGAATTGAATCAATAACTAATAACCCTCCAAAAAGGAAACACTGGGCTTAGATGGTTTACCTGGTAAATTCTACCAAGAATTTAATTTAGTAACAATACTAGTTCTTCAAGATATCTTACAGAAAATAGAAACAGAGGGGGTCTCCAAATTCTGTTTTAGGTTTGATGATTCATTAAGGAACTCATGGGACTCAACATGTGATCATACTCATGGTTATCGTTTATTACAATGAAAGTATACCAACTATAAGCATCAAAGAGAAAGGCTTATGAGTAAAGTCTAAGGGAAGTCAGGTGCAAGCTTCCACAAATCCTCTCCCAATTAATTCACAAGGAAGTGCTTAATTCAATCCATTAATGAATTATAACAACATGTGTAAAATGTTGCCAACAAGGAAAGTTCATTAGAGACTCTGTACCCAAATATTTTATTGGGGATTGACAATATTTAATAGTGAGAAATTGGACACCTTTCCCCTAAGACAAGAAACAGAGAAGTGTATACATATAAGAAAGGAAAAAGCAAAACTCCCTTTATTTGTAGATGATATAATTTTCTAGGTAGAAAATCCCAAAGAATTAGATAAAAGTTCCTGAATTTAATGAGAATATAGCAAAGTCACAAGATGTAAGGTTATTATATAAACGTCAGTTGCTTTTCTGTAGCCCAGCAGTGAAAAAATGAAATTTAAAATTAAAATTTTTAAAACTACCAATTAAAATAGCACCCCAAAATTAAATATTTAGATATAAACATAACAAATTATGTATAGAATCTGTGTGCAGAAAAATACCAAACACTGATGAAAGAAATTGAAGAAGAGTCAAATACAGTCATGTATAGTTTAACAATGGGGATATATTCTGAGAAATATGTTGTTAGGCAATTTTGTCATTGTGCAAATATCATGGAGTACACTTACACAAACCTATAAGGCACAGCCTACTACACACCTAGGCTATGTGGTGTAGCCTCTTGTTACTAAGCTACAAACCTGTACAGCGTGTTGTTGTACAGAATAACAAAGGCAGTTGTAACACAGCAGTAAGTACGTGTGTATCTAATATCTTAAACATAGAAAATGTACAGAAAAAATGTTATTATAATCATATGAGACTACTGTTGTTATGCAGTCTGTCACTGAAATGTCGTCATGTGGTGTGTGACGATTGGTGGAAAGATATTCCATGTTCATGAATTGGAAGATTCTATATTGTTGTCGTTCTTTCTAACTCGATCTATAGATTCAAAATAGTTCCAATGAAAAATTCCAGAAAGCTGATGTAAACATCAACAAACTGACTCTAAAGTATATATGGAAAGACAAAAGACAAAACAAATAAACAAAACAGTACAGAGAAAGAAAATAGTTGGAGCAATCACACTACTCAGTTTCAGGACTCACTATAATACTACAGTAACCAAGATAGAATGGTATTGAAAAAATAATAGATATATAGACAAATGAAAAAGAATAGGAGAAGCCAGAAATACACCCACACATCTACAGTCAACTAAACTTTGTCAGAGGTGCAAATGTATGTTGATAGAGAAAGGCTAGACTTTTAATAAATGGTGCTGAAACAATGAACCTAGTCCATATACCATTCACAAAAATTAACTCAAAATAGACCACAGATTCCAATGTAAATGCAAAACTTATAAGACTTCTGGCCAGGCGTGGTGGCTCACGCCTGTAATCCCAGAACTTTGGGAGGCCAAGATGGGTGGATCACCTGAGATTGGGAGTTCGAGACCAGCCTGGCCAACACGGAGAAACCCCATCTCTCCTAAAAACACAAAAATTAGCTGGGCATGGTGGCACATGCTTGTAATCCCAGCTACTAGGGAGGCTGAGGCAGGAGAATCGCTTGAACCCAGAAGGCAGAGGTTGTGAGCCAAGATTGCACCACTGCACTCCAGCCTGGGCGACAACAGCAAAACTCCATCTCAAAAACAAAACAAAACAAACTTATAACACTTCTAGAAGAAAACAGAGAAGAAAATTCTGTGATGCTGGATTTGGTGATAAGTTTCTAGATATAGCACCAAAAGCACAATCCATTTAAAAATGTTTTTTAAAATATTTTTATAGATGTATGGGGTATAAGGGAACTTTTGTTACATGAATATATTGCAGAGCGATGAAGCCTGGGCATTTAGTGTACCCATCTCCTGAACGGTGTACATTGTACTCATGAAGTAATTTCTCATTCCTCATCCCCCTTACCCTTCCAAGTCTCCAGTGTCTTATTATTCCACTTCCTAAGTCCGTTGGTATATAACTTAGCTCTCACTGACATGTGAAAACATGGGGAATTTCACTTTCTGTTGCTGAGTTATTTCACTTAAGTTAATGGCCTCTAGTTCCATTCACGTTGCTGCAAAAGACACAATTTCATTTATTTTTATGGCTGAGTAGTATTCCATGGTGTATGTGTGTGTGTGTGCATGTATCTATATCTACATATATACCACATTCCAAAATATACAAAGAATTTTTCTTTTTTGAGACAGAGTCTGGCTCTGTCACCAAGGCTGGAGTTCACTAGCATGACCTAGCTCACTGCAGCCTCAAGCTCCTGGCCTCAGCGATCTTCCCACCTCAGCTACTCAAGTAGCTAGGACTACAGGCATGTGACACCATACTCAGCTAATTAAAAAAAAAAAAAAATGTCAACTTAAAAAGTAAAAAACCAAATTAACCAAAATTTTTTTAAATGGGCAAAAGATCTGTATAGTTAACTCATCAAAGAAGATACTCTAAAGCCAAATAAATATGTGAGAATATGCTTAAAATAGTCATTTTATAATTCGAAATTACACATAAAAACGTTACCACCATACATACACTAGAATTGCTAAAATCCATAAATCTGAAATACCAATTGCCGTTGAGGATAAAAAAGAACAGGAACTCACATCCATTGTTGGTGGGATTGCAAACTGACTGTTACCACCACTGTGAAAAGCAGTTTTGTGGTTTCTGACAAAACTAAACATTATCTCACCACACAATCTAGCAATTATGTTTCTATATATTTACCTATCTAAAAATGTAGGTCTGCAAAAACAAACAAAAAACTGCACACAAATATTCACACAATTGCCAAAAACTGGGCATATGTGTCATACTTGTGCTATAAAATCTTATTCAGAGATGAAAAAGAATGATTTTTTCAAGCCAAGCAAAGACATTTATTAATCTTAAACACATATTGTTAAGCAAAATAAATCAGTCTGAAAAGGCTACACTAATTTAAAAAAATCACTGAGGTTATTGGGCAATCTCAGGATGAAATACAAATTATGAAAAAAATCTAACTTAATTACAAATACATAAAATAATGTAACTGAAGGGACTGGAGGAAGACAGTGCTGATCTAAGTAACTTTGAAAATGAATGCTGTCTGCAAAGTTAAAGGCATGAGGAATTGCACATAAGCACTGCACAGTAGTTCATCAAGTTGTTTCCTCAAGGGTATATGGACTAGTAATTCTGAAAACACTATACATATAGAGTAGAATTGACAAAACAAGTAAAAGGATGGTGGCTGATGAGAGCCAGGAGTCTCTTTTGTGGTGTTAGATAAGCAAAAGGAGGAAGTCTATATAATCTATACGGTAATGAATTAGAGTTGGAGATATTGATATAAATTCATATTTATCTTAATATATATGCATATGATTAAACATAAAAAGATTTATAGATATGTGTATATATACAGGTTGGTAACTCACATATACTTTCTTAATCTATCAGTTGAAAGGGCCCCAAGCAATGATACCTCACTAGCAACAAGCACACCTGACACACAGGTTTTTGTTTCTAATAAAATTATGCAGTAAAAGGAATCAACACTCTTTGTAGAAATTGGTGTTTCTAGGATTAAGACATATACACAATAGGCCAGGAATATCTTTTAGTACTGAAAATAAGGAAGTGCTTAAAATCTACAATGATGGGAATCTATCAAAAGGACACAGAAGATAACGAGAAGAGCTTCCAATGGCAATACTGGAACAATCTAAGTTGAAAACATAGTAATATTAGGCTATAAACCAAATATAAAATAAATGTCCTGCATCTAGAATGATATAAATAAACGATGGAATAAATAAATAGGTAAATAAATTAATAAAGGAGAATAGACAAATATCTCATGCAGATTTCCAAATAATATATGTAAATACATCCCCTTAAGAAGGACAGGTATAATTCTTTACTCCTGAAGTGTTGCATATAGAGACTTCCTTCCAAAGAATACGGAAAAGGAGCAAAAAAGAGTAACTTTAAAATGGAAAAACATGACAAACACTCCCTAAATTTAGTGATCAAGGTTAATATTGAGAGTAATAATATAGTTCATATTATGGCTTTTGATTTGAGGTGAGGCAGTTTGATATGAGAAATGCTAATTTATCTCTGTGACCCTGCTCCCCAAAACCAGTAACCTTAGTTTGGTCATGAGAAAAACATAAGACAGATCCTAACTGACATTCTACAAAATGAATTCAAGACTGTCTTCACAACTGTTTTATCTTCAAAATATCTGCAAAATTGTAAAGCTTTTCAAAAACAAAGTAAGTCTAAGAAATGGTAACAGATAAGAGAAGTCTAAGGTGATATGACAGTTAAATGTAATGTGGTATCCTAGATGGGATCCTGAGTCGGAAAATAACATCAGGTAAAAACTGAATATATCATGTTCTTCACGTGAGTATATAATCTACTTTAATAAGGTACAAATATTGGCTCATTAATGGTCAAAAATATACCATATTAATACAAGACATAAAAATAGGAGTAAATGGGTTTGGGGTTTATGGGAATTCTCTGTTATCACAATTTTTATGTAAATTTAAAACTATTCTAAAATTAGAAGTTTAAAACAAAGTTAGCTACACATAAAACACTAAAAATCATAGATGGCAAAAATTCTAGCAAATTAATTTGTTAAGACCAAATGTAAACGTAAAGTATAACATTCATAGCACAAAAAAATGAGTGGGAGGAATTAGAAGTATATGTTTTAAGTTCTGCTGCTGCACATGAAGTAGTATAATTTCATTTGAAGATAGGCTTGGATTTAAGAAGATCCTTGTTTTGAACACTAGGACAACCAGACATAAATACACACAAAAGTTAAAATGAGGAATAAATAGTAAGCGAGTAATGGAGTAAAATGAAATGATAGAAAAAATAAAAAAGCTCAAGTTACCCTCAAGGAAGGCAGAAGACAAAAAAAAAGAAGAAATGAACATAGGCACAAAACTCCTCAACCAAGTATTAATAAATCAAATTTAGTAACATATAAAATATACACACATATATATTCTAAAAATAATAATACAGTTTCAGTAAATGGGGTTTCACCTAATGCAAGGCTGGCTGAACATGTGAAAAGGAATTAATGCCATTCAACTTGTTTTTACAGAAAAGAAGAAAATACATGATTACCTCAAAAGACGCAGAAAAAGCATTTAGAAAAAATTAATATCCATTCCTAATATAAACTCTCAGCAACTTTAAATAGAAAGCAAATTCATTAACCCTGTAATGGATATATAAGGAGAAAAACAAACAAAAATAAAAACAAAACAGAGATAATATGATACTTCAAGACGAAATACTGAATGGTTTCCCCTAAGTTCAGGAACAAGATAAGGGAGTCTTCCTTCAGCACCCCTGTTAACATGTACTAGAAGTCCTAGGCAGTTCAATTAAACCAAAAAACAAAAATAAAATATATACAGATTAGAAAGCAAGAATCAAAATCATCTGTATTTACAGATCGTGATTAATGTCTACATAGAAAATTTCAGCCAGGCATGGTGGCTCATGCCTGTAATCCCAGTACTTTGGGAGGCTGAGACAGGCAGATCACCTGAGGTTAGGAGTTCGAGACCAGCCCAACCAACATGGAGAAACCCTGTCTCTACTAAAAATACAAAATTAGCCAGGCGTGGCAGTACATGCCTGTAATTACAGCTACTCGGGAGGCTGAGGCAGAAGAATAGCTTAAACATGGGAGGTGGAGGTTGCGGTGAGCCGAGATTGTGCCATTGCACTCCAGCCTGAGCAACAAGAGCAAAACTCTGTCTCAAGAAAAAAAAAAAAAAAAGAAAAGAAAAGAAAACAAAAGAAATTTCAACGAATTTACAAAAAAAAATTTACAACTAATAATTGAATTTTAGTAAGGGTATGGAATACAAAGTCAATATACAAAAATCAATTATAGGCCAGGCATGGTGGCTCACACCTATAATCCAGAGGCCAAGACGGGAGGATCACTTGAGGGCAGGAGTTCGAGACCAGCCTGGCTAACATGGTGAAACCCTGTCTCTACAAAACATACAAAAAAAAGTTAGCTGGGCATGGTGGCAGAGGCATGTAACTCGGGAGGCTGAGGCAGGAGAATCACTTGAACCCCGGAGGCAGAGGTTTCAGTGAACCAAGATCATGCCACTGAACTCCAACCTGGGTGACAGACGAGACTATGTCTCAAAAAAAAAAAAAAAAGAAAAAGAAAAGGAAAAATCAATTATATTACATAAACTAGCAATAATTATTTAAAACTTTAAAAATGTCATTTACAACAGCTCCAAAAAACAATTAAATACTGAGGTATAATCTAAAATATGTACAGCATTTGTGTACTAATACAAAGCGTCAATGAAACAATAGAAAATCTAAATAAATAGAGAGATGTACTATATTTACACACTGGGAGATTCATCATTGTTAAGATGACACTTCTCCACAAATAGGTGTAGGGATTTAATTCAATCTCCATAAAAGTCCTGCAGATATTCCATAGATATGAACAAGCTGATTCTATCATATGTTTAGAAAAACAAACTAGAAAAGTCAAAACAAAACTGAGAAAGCAGAAAAAAATGTTTGAAGAGAAATTAATGTTGTAGTTTCTCAAATTACCTCCACCAAAATATTTATCTATTACAAAGGGAAAGACAGTTGACCTTAGTGAGGAAAACCTAGCGGACATTGCTTTAACCAAGTTATCAAGATAATTTTACCTGTGATATGACATGTACTTCATGATCTGATTCTCTGAGATGAGCATATAACTTTTGTTTAATTCCTGAAAAATATATAACCTCAATCTAATCATGAGTAAGCATAAAACTAACCAAACTAAGGGATGTTCTGGAAAACAAGCAAAATCCTTAAAATTTTTCAAGATCATGAAGGACAAGAAAAGACTAAGAAATTGTCACATATTAGAGGAGACTAAGGAGACATGACAACTAAATCAATGTGACCTCTTGTTTGGATTTTGGAAGAGAAAAAGAACATTGATTAAAAACAAAAAACACAAAAACTTGGGAAACCTGAATAAAGTCTGAAGTTTAGTTAATAATGGTTATCAGTATTACCTTCTTAGTTTTGACAAAGGCTTCATAGTAATGTAAAATGTACACATTAGGGTCCTGTATATATCAGAAATAAACTTTTCTGGAAGTCTAAAATTATTTCAAAATATTAAGTTAAAAAATAAATTTAAAGTAAACATTACCAACTACACGTTATAATCACTTGGATAAAGAATAGCACAAAGCAGAAAACACACCGTTTTTCCATTTATATAAAATTATTACACTGACACAAAAATATTTTGAGAAAACATGAATGCATCAAATGTGTAACAGTTGAGTGAAATCTAAGATATTTTTAAGCGTTTTTCTAGATCCTTTTATTCACCACTAATTGGCCGGACATTGAAGAGACGGAGGAGTGGTAAAAATGTTCCAGGGATTTTACTGTAAACAGATAATGGCGATTCCCACCAATTAAAAATGGAAAAAGGGAGAGATTCCAAGATGGCTGAATAGGAACAGCTCCAGTCTGCAGCTCCCAGGTGAGCAACACAAAAGACGGGTGATTTCTGCATTTCCAACTGAGGTACTGGGTTCATCTCGCTGGAGCTTGTCGGACAGTGGGTGCAGCCCATGGAGCAGGGCGGGGCATTGTCTCACCTGGGAAGCACAAGGGGTCAGGGAATTCCCTTTCCTAGCAAAGGGAAGCCGTGACAGATGGTACCTGGAAAATAGGGACAATCCCACTGTAATACTGCACTCTTCCAATGGCCTTAGCAAAAGGCACACCAAGAGATTATATCCCATGCCTGGCTCAGAGGGTCCCACGCCCACAGAGCCTCACTCACTGCTAGCACAGCAGTGAGATCGAACTGCAAGGTGGCAGCAGGGCTGGGGGAGGGGCTTCGGCCACTGCTGAGGCTTGACTAGGTAAACAAAGCAGCGGGGAGCTTGAACTGGGTGGAGCCTACCGCAGCTCAAGGAGGCCTGCCTGCCTCTGTAGACTCCACCTCTGCGGGCAGGGCCTAGCAGAAAAGGCAGCAGAAACTTCTGCAGACTTAAACGTCCCAGTCTGACAGCTTTGAAGAGAGCAGTGCTTCTCCCAGCATGGAGTTTGAGATCTGAGAATGGTCAGACTGCCTCCTCAAGTTGGTCCCTGACCCCCGAGTAGCCTAACTGGGAGACACCTCCCAGTAGGGGCCTACTGACACCTCATACAGCCGAGTGCCCCTCGGAGATGAAGCTTCCAGAAGAAGAATCAGACAGCAACATTTGCCTTTCTGCAACATTTGCTGTTCTACAGCCTCTTCTGGTGATACCCAGGCAAACAGGGTCTGGAGTAGACCTCTAGCAAACTCCAACAGACCTGCAGCTGAGGGTCCTGACTGTTAGAAGGAAAACTAACAAACAGAAAGGACACCCATACCAAAACCCCATCTGTACATCACCATCAAAGACCAAAGGTAGATAAAACCACAAAGATGGGGAGAAACCAGAGCAGAAAAGCTGAAAATTCTAAAAATCAGAGTGCCACTTCTCCTCCAAAGGAATGCAGCTCCTATCAACAATGGAACAAAGCTGGATAGAGAATGACTCTGACGAGTTCAGAGAAGGCTTCAGACGACTGGTAATAACAAACCTGACAATTTTCGAACCCGTCGCAAAGAAGCTAAAAACCGTGAGAAAAGATTAGAGGAATGGCTAACTAGAATAACCAGTGTAGAGAAGTCCTTAAATGACTTGATGGAGCTGAAAACCAAGGCAAGAGAACTATGTGACGAATGCACAAGCTTCAGTAGCCAATTCGATCAACTGGAAGAAAGGATGTCAGTGATTGAAGATCAAATGAATGAAATGAAGCGAAAAGAGAAGTTCAGAGAAAAAAAGAGTAAAAAGGAACGAACAAAGCCTCCAAGAAATACGAGACTATGTGAAAAGACCAAACCTACACTGGTGTACCTGAAAGTGATGGGGAGAATGGAACCAAGTTGGAAAACACTCTGCAGGATATTATCCAGGAGAACTTCCCCAACCTAGCAAGGAAGGCCAACATTCAAATTCAGGAAATACAGAGAATGCCACAAAGATACTCCTCGAGAAGAGCAACTCCAAGACACATAATTGTCAGATTCGCCAAAGTTGAAATGAAGGAAAAAATGTTAAGGGCAGCCAGAGAGAAAGGTCGGGTTACCCACAAAGGGAAGCCCATCAGACTAACAGCTGATCTCTCGGCAGAAACTCTACAAGCCAGAAGAGAGTGGGGGCCAATATTCAGCATTCTTAAAGAAAAGAATTTTCAACCCAGAATTTCATATCCAGCCAAATAAAGCTCAATAAGTGAAGAAGAAATAAAATACTTTACAGAGAAGCAAATACTAAGAGATTTTGTCACCACCAGGCCTGCCTTACAAGAACTCCTGAAGGAAGCACTAAACATGGAAAGGAACAACCGGTATAAGCCACTAAAAAAACATGCCAAATTGTAAAGACCATCAATGCTAGGAAGAAACTGCATCCATTAACGAGCAAAATAACCAGCTAACATCATAATGAAAGGATCAAATTCACACATAACACTATTAACCGCAAATGTAAATGGGCTAAATGCTCCAATTAAAAGACACAGACTGGCAAATTGGATAAAGAATCAAGACTCACCAGTGTGCTGTATTCAGGAGGCCCATCTCACACGCAGAGACACACATAGGCTCAAAATAAAGGGATGGAAGAAGATCTACCAAGCAAATGGAAAACAAAAAAAAAAGCAGGCATTGCAATCCTAGTCTCTGATAAAACAGACTTTAAACCAACAAAGATCAAAAGAGACAAAGAAGGCCATTACATAATGGTAACGGGATCAATTCAACAAGAAGAGCTAACTATCCTAAATATATATGCACCCAATACAGGAGCACCCAGATTCATAAAGCAAGTCCGTAGAGACCTACAAAGAGACTTAGACTCCCACACAATAATAATGGGAGACTTTAACACCCCACTGTCAATATTAGACAGATCAACGAGACAGAACGTTAACAAGGATATCCAGGAATTGAACTCAGCTCTGCACCAAGCAGACCTAATAGACATCTACAGAACTCTCCACCCCAAATCAACAGAATATACATTCTTCTCAGCACCACATCACACTTATTCCAAAACTCACCATATAGTTGGAAGTGAAGCACTCCTTAGCAAATGTAAAAGAACAGAAATTATAACAAACTGTCTCTCAGACCACAGTGCAATCAAACTAGAACTCAGGATTAAGAAACTCACTCAAAACCGCTCAACTACATGGAAACTGAACAACCCGCTCCTGAATGACTACTGGGTACATAACAAAATGAAGGCAGAAATAAAGATGTTCTCTGAAACCAATGAGAACAAAGACACAACATATCAGAATCTCTGGGACACATTTAAAGCAGTGTGTAGAGGGAAATTTATAGCACTAAATGCCCACAAGAGAAAGCAGGAAAGATCTAAAATTGACACCCTAACATCACAATTAAAAGAACTAGAGAAGCAAGAGCAAACACATTCAAAAGCTAGCAGAAGGCAAGAAATAACTAAGATCAGAGCAGAACTGAAGGAGATAGAGACATAAAAAAAGGTTCAAAAAAATCAATGAATCCAGGAGCTGGTTTTTTGAAAAGATCAACAAAATTGATAGACCACTATCAAGACTAATAAAGAAGAAAAGAGAGAAGAATCAAATAGATGCAATAAAAAATGTTAAAGGGGATATCACCACTGATCCCACAGAAATACAAACTACCATCAGAGAATACTAGAAACACCTCTATGCAAATAAACTAGAAAATCTAGAAGAAGTGGATAAATTCCTCAACACATACACCCTCCCAAGACTAAACCAGGAAGAAGTTGAATCTCTTAATAGACCAATAACAGGTTCTGAAATTGAGGCAATAATCAATAGCCTACCAACCAAAAAAAGTCCAGGACCAGACGGATTCACAGCTGAATTCTAACAGACATACAAAGAGGAGCTGGTACCACTCCTTCTGAAACTATTGCAATCAACAGAAAGAGAAGGAATCCTCCCTAACTCATTTTATGAGGCCAGCATCATCCTGATACCAAAGCCTGGCAGAGACACAACAAAAAAAGAGAATTTTAGACCATTATCCCGGATGAACATCAATGCAAAAATCCTCAATAAAATACTGGCAAACCGAATCCAGCAGCACATCAAAAAGCTTGTCCACCATGATCAAGTTGGCTTTATCCCTGGGATGCAAGGCTGGTTCAATATATGCAAATCAATAAATGCAATCCAGCATATAAACAGAACCAAAGGCAAAAACCACATGATTATTTCAACAGATGTAGAAAAGGCCTTTGACAATATTCAACAGCCCTTCATGTTAAAAACTCTCAATAAACTAGGTATTGATGGACGTATCTCAAAATAGTAAGAGCTATTTATGACAAACCCACAGTCAATATCATACTGAATGGGCAAAAACTGGAAAGCGTTCCCTTTGAAAACTGGCACAAGACAGGGATGCCCTCTCTCACCACCCCTATTCAACATAGTGTTGGAAGTTCTGGCCAGGGCAATCAGGCAGGAGAAAGAAATAAAGGGCATTCAATTAGGAAAAGAGGAAGTCAAATTGTCCCTGTTTGCAGATGACATGACTATATTTAGAAAACCCCATCATCTCAGTCCAAAATCTCCTTAAGCTGATAAGCAACATCAGCAAAGTCTCAGGATACAAAATCAGTGTGCAAAATTCACAAACATTTTTATACACCAATAACAGACAAACAGAGAGCCAAATCATGAGTGAACTCCCATTCACAATTGCTTCAAAGAGAATAAAATACCTAAGAATCCAACTTACAAGGGACATGAAGGACCTCTTCAAGGAGAACTATAAACCACTGCTCAGTGAAATAAAAGAGGATACAAACAAATGGAATAACATTCCATGCTCATGGATAGGAAGAATCAATATTGTGAAAATGGCCATACTGCCCAAGATAATTTATAGATTCACCGCCATCCCCATCAAGCTACCAGTGACTTACTTCATGAAATTGGAGAAAACTACTTTAAAGTTCATATGGAACTAAAAAAGAGCCCACATTGCCAAGAGAATCCTAAGCCAAAAGAACAAAGCTGGAGGCATCACACTACCTGACTTCAAACTATACTACAAGGCTACAGTAACCAAAACAGCACGGTACTGGTACCAAAACAGAGATATAGACCAATGGAACAGAACAGAGCCCTTGGAAATAATACCACACATCTACAACCATCTGATCTTTGACAAACCTGACAAAAACAAGAAATGAGGGGCGACAGAGCGAGACTCCGTCTCAAAAAAAAAAAAAAAAAAAAAAAAAAAAAAAAAAAAAAAAAAAAAAAAAGGATTCTCTATTTAATAAATCATGCTGGGAAAACTGGCTAGCCATATGTAGAAAGCTGAAACTGGATCCCTTCCTTACACTTTATAAGAAAATTAATTCAAGATGGATTAAAGACTTACATGTTAGACCTAAAACCATAAAAACCCTAGAAGAAAACCTAGGCAATACCATTCAGGACATAGGCATGGGCAAGGATTTCATGAGTGAAACACCAAAAACAATGGCAATAAAAGCCAAAATTGACAAATGGGATCTAATTAAACTAAAGAGCTTCTGCACAGCAAAAGAAACTACCATCAGAGTGAAAAGGCAACCCACAGAATGGGAGAGAATTTTTACAATCTACTCATCTGACAAAGGACTAATATCCAGAATCTACAAAGAACTTAAACAAATTTACAAGAAAAAATCAAACAACCCCATCAACAAGTGGGCAAAGGATATGAACAGACACTTCTGAAAAGAAGACATTTATGCAGCCAACAGACACATGAAAAAATGCTCATCATCACTGGCCATCAGAGAAATGCAAATCAAAACAACAATGAGATACCATCTCACACCAGTTAGAATGGCAATCATTAAAAAGTCAGGAAACAACAGGTGCTGGAGAGGATGTGGAGAAACAGGAACACTTTTACACTGTTGATGGGACTGTAAACTAGCTCAACCATTGTGGAAGACAGTGTGGTGATTCCTTAAGGATCTAGAACTAGAAATACCATTTGATCCAGCCATCCCATTACTGGGCATGTACCCAAAGGATTATAAATCATGCTGCTATAAGGACACATGCACATGTACGTTTATTGTGGCAATATTCACAATAGCAAAGACTTGGAACCAACCCAAATGTCCATCAATGATAGACTGGATTAAGAAAATGTGGCACATATACACCATGGAATACTATGCAGCCATAAAAAGGATGAGTTCCTGTCCTTTGTAGGGACATGGATGAAGCTGGAAACCATCATTCCGAGCAAACTATCACAAGGACAGAAAACCAAACACTGCATGTTCTCACTCATAGGTAGGAATTGAACAACGAGAACACTTGGACACAGGGTGGGGAACATCACACACTGGGGCCTGTTGTGGGGTTGGGGGAGGAGGGATGGATAGCATTAAGAGAGCTACCTAATGTAAATGACGAGTTAATGGGTGCAGCACGCCAACATGGCACATGTATACATATGTAACAAACCTGCACGTTGTGCACATGTACCCTAGAACTTAAAGTATAATAAAAAAAAATGGAAAAAGGAAGACACTCATGAAAAGGACAACTTTAAGATGCAGGAAATATAATATCACCTGAAGAATATAGAAATGGAGATATAAAAATTTGCATTGATAATTTGTTCATTTCATCCAATTGTTGGGAGTGTATTTTCCCTTGTCTAACTTTGCTCCACCTTTGATTAGTTATGGATATTTTGAGGTTGTCACTTTGCTTCTTTGTATCTCCCCAGTTTGAAAAAACTCAGAATTGTGGGAATTCAACACGACAATTTCTGTAAGCACTTAACACAATTTTAGACGCTAATTAATCATCCCCTAATCAGGTCCACCTTTCCAGATATAAGTGAAAGAAACTCAACTCAAACAAAAGTAAGCAAAAAAAAAAAAAAAAAAAAAGAATTGATTTAATTAGATTAAAAGCTTAGAGAGTATAATTAACTTTAAACTCTGCTGAATGGAGATCTCAAACTGTGATTAGACTGCTTCTCCGTCTCCAGCTCTCTTTCTGTCTCCAAGTTCTGCTTGCCTCTGTGTTGGCTTCAGTAAGGGGACTTTCTCCACATGGTGGGAACATTGGTCTCTAGCAGCTTGTGATTGTTTTGCCTTTACAGCTTGAAATTTCTAAAGTATAAAAACACATTTTTTAAGCTTCTCTAAAGACATGGGAAATTCCAGTCAGCTTGGGACATGTGTCCATCCCTGAAACAATCCCAGCAGGCAGGGAGTTGGAGTAGTATAATTGATGCTATGCGAGTCACATGCCTTCTTATGGGTTAGGACCTCCGATTTCCTCTAGCCAAACCATATGGACAAAGCAAGATTCATAGAGTTGTGGCATCTTTAAGGAAAGAAAGTTTGATAAAACCCCAAATATATTCATTATAGTTATTTATATTTTTTTATCATGGCTTTGATGATCATTTTTGTTTCCTCTAAGAATTCATACCCTTGAGTTAAAGGTTGATTTTTATGATTTTTATGTTAGTACAAACTTCTTTCACTTGGTTCTCTGATCTCTCTCCTACTTAAATATTATAAAATGTGGATGAAGCTGGAAACCATCATTCTCAGCAAACTATCACAAGGACAAAAAACCAAACACCGCATGTTCCCACTCACAGGTGGGAATTTAACAATGAGAACACTTGAGCACAGGGAGGGGAACATCACACCCTGGGGCCTGTCATGGGGTGGGGGGAGGAGGGAGCGATACCATTAGGAGATATACCTAATGTAAATGACGAGTTAATGGGTGCAGCACACCAACATGGCACATGTATACATATGTAACAAACCTGCACATTGTGCACATGTACCCTAGAACTTAAAAGTATAGTAAAAAAAAAAAAAGAGAGGCAAACACAGATAAAATACCAACAGAGAATGTGCACTGTAATTTAAACAGTCAAAATAATTCATAGTATTTTTTAAACATTTAAAACATTCACATATACAACAGGCAACATAACTTAGGGAGACTATAAACTCTCAAGAACTTGAAATTCAAATCTTTAAAAAATTGATGTGTAAGTTCCTTCTTGCACTACTAGAGCAGAAATATATGTGCATTGTTTTTCAAATTTCACTTTCCATGTGAGTCGTTTTCTTTTCTAAGTATGGTAATTAGTTGCATATTTTTCTCCTTAGAATATGAAATGTAAAACAAGTAAACAACCCACCCACATCTTTTGTTTTATGTGAAAGAATATTGTGCTAAAGAATGAGGTGGAGTTCAAATAAATATTATTAGTGCTTATTCAGTCTAATCTACCTACTTTTATATTCTGGCTTCCTCTATTTCTCTTGCTATATAAAATCATATTTCTGTAAATTTAAATGTAGTTAATTTTATGCAATTACTTTTGCAAATAATCACCATAGTTTTGCATGTTACCTAAAATGGAAAGAATAGAAAATTAAATTTAGTGTCTATATACTCATATCACTTTATTTTTATTGATTGTCTATTACAGGGAAGATGTAAATTATGATAGTTTAGTGCAATTAAATTAAGCTGATCCTTACCAGAAAAAAAAAAAGTAAAACAAAATTCTACAAATAACTTGTGATTGGAATTTGGAATAAAAAATTCCTTAATCTAAAAAAAATTATATAGTATATATTCCAGAATTAGAAATGACTGTGTCTGTTTGCAGTATTTTCATTTTAATGAAAGGTACGTTGCTTTAATATTTTAAAAATTCATATCCTACATGCCATAGCTCTCTTCTCAGTCTTCCTGTCTTTTTCCTCCAATTCCCTAAAAGATTTGTTTTAAAGATCCAGACATTGTTTCAGGGGTATTGAATCATTACTATATCCAGGGCCAGTTCCTGTAGGGATTCTAACAGTAATAGCTAACATCTGTTGAATTCTATTTTCAAGGTATTCCTCAAGTTGTATACATGTGAAACAGTTGCGACAATTGTAATGTCCTCATTCAGTTCATCTGGGGTGCTGTATTAGTCCATTTTCATGCTGCTAATAAAGAAATACCTGACAGTGGACAATTTACAAAAGAAAGGTTTAATGGACTTAGAGTTCCACGTGGCTGGGGAGGCCTCACAATCATGGCAGAAGGCGAAAGACATATCTCATAAGACAGCAGACTGAGACAGCAGAAGGAGAACCAAGCAAAAGTTTTTCCCTTATAGAACTATCAGGTATCACGAGAGTTATTCACTACCATGAGAACAGTATGGGGGAAACTGCCTCCATGATTCAATTATCTCCCATCGGGCCCCTCCTGCAACACATGGGAATTATAGTACAATTCAAGGTGAGGTTTGGGTGGGGACACTGCCAACCCTTATCAGGTACTAAGAACGTAACTACCTTTCACTTTCCAATATGATTTGCTACATATCAAAGGCAGGATTTGCAAAAGAAGTTTCCAGTAACCTGTTGTGTGATCGTTAGGTGATTCCCACCCCCAGACTACACAGAACGTTGGAGCTATTCAGAGGAGTTGAAATTCATGAATGCAATGTCTTTGGAGAGAATTGATGGTGAATATGAGTCCTGATTCTCTTACCTATGGAGGAGTTTAAGTATAGTGAGGGTTAGCATTGGGAAGATCACTCCTTACAAAATTATCTGATTCATGGGCTCAATGCAACTGAGTAGGGTTGAGGAGAAGAAAATAATCAAAGAAGATTATGTACTTCCCCTACAGTTTGAGGAAAATGATGGATTAGAGTCAGATCAGGTTTAAGGTGCATGGACCAGACGTGGAACTCTTAAAATAATGTGAGCCTGCAGTTGTTCAAGATTGTGAGCTCAGGGGATGACTTGAAGATAGAGATGACCTCAGAAAAAAAACTGTGAACAAGGGCGGGTCCAGATGATCTGGGACTTATAAAATGGAATTTGTTGTGGGGAGAGGCATTATGAAAAGACAGTACAAAAATATTTTAGTTTTAAAAAATTAAGAAAAAACATCATCATGTAGATACACTATTATGGCTCCTCACAGGGCTTTGGAAAGGGCTTGTACACTTCCTTGGGAGTCTCTAAGCTTAAATTTCGTTAGCTTTAGAAAACATCCACTGGATCTATACAATCAGATGAGTAGATTGAGGGAGAAATCATAGTCAGCTAACAGAGATTTAGAAACTTATCCCACAGTATATCTCCAAAGAACCCACAAAATAACCTAGGAGAAAGACAGGGAATAAATTTGTTTTTTTAATGTACCTAAAGAGCTCCACTGTTAATCCTAAAATGTAAGTCCTATTAGTATTCTATTATATAGAAAGATAACCCAGGAAAATAAAGTAGCTTAAGTTTACAAAGTCATAAGAAGTAAATGAGGATTTGTATACATGACTGGATGACCTCGCAATGAGCACTTGGAATACTCTTAATCAGCTTGCTACACAGTCTCAGCAGAGTCCAACAAGCCTTTCCTCATGCTCAGAGGTCTAGACAGATACAGAGACCCTCGGAGTTATCAATCCTCCCCTTAAAGTTTGACTGTGTTGAACCTGCTCCTTGGCTCTTAACCTTGACCTGTGAACCATATTAGTCTCAACTTTACCTGTGTTTTTGTTCCTGCCCCTCAACTCCATACCACCCTTCACACATTGTACTTCTTTCCAAAGAACTCTGACCAGGTTCTTTACTTGAAATACTCCAGAGCAAGCTCATTGTTTTTAAAACTTGCAAACTCTATTTTAAATATAAAAAAATTAAATCAACAGCAATTCATTCATAAAATTTTGAACTTCTATATGCGAAGCACTGTGCTAAAGCTTTGAAAAAGGGAAGACAGATAATGTGAGTTAAGGGCATAGTGTGCCTCAGTAAATGGCGGGGCGGGGGACAGCATTGATCAGAGGAGGAGAAGGACTTTGTGGGTTGTGTGAATGTTGGTTACATTGAACCTGAAGAGACTGGGGCCTAAATAATATGAGTGTAAGGCTCCAGCATTTCTTTCTCCCTTACTTTCTTTTCACTTTCCTGACTTTCAATTGTCATGACATTTGATGTCCTTAAAGGTTGTGATTGAAGGGAGTATTCGGATATTGACATGATTTGAATGTAATGCATTGACTTTCAAATCATGATTTCCACCTAATGATGGTCTATGGAGCAATTTCTAATCAAAACACTCAATCACAGCTTAACACATTCCCAGAATATTAGTCATAAGCATGACTTTCAAAAAAGTGTGTCTGCTTGATGTAGGGAGACATTAGCAAACTTTGGTGGTGGTGGTGGTGATTTTTCCTTAACCTGCTTGACACTGTCACCCTCTAAACAAAATAAACTCCTACCAGCTAGACAGGAAGTGGACTTAGAATAGAATATACAAGGCTTAAACATTGATCAGAATTTCTGCATTCATCAGGACATCCAGGGTTAGCTGGAGTGTGGACTAAAACTCCCAGATAGGTGTGAGAAATTAAGCGTCAGATGAATTGTGCCTCACTTTTTGCCTGGCACACAATCAACAGAGCTCTCCTCGAACTCAAGATATGACAGAAAAGGGCAGAATTTCCATCTAAAGGATCCAAGCCTTTCAGAACCTACATGTAAACCCAGTATGTTGCAGTGAGCAGCCACTGGTTTCTCCAGATGGCAGTGAACAGCACAGAAGGTTGCTTTATTCAAAGCAGATCTTAAGCCAGGACCAGGAGATTTAATGCTACAGTGCACTAAGTGTACAGTAGAGCCAATGACCAAGTGGGAATATGGACATTTTGGCAGCAGATACCAACATTCCATAATCAGAAAAAGACAGCGATGCAATGGGTGAATTACATCATGGGGGATAAAACGGTAGTACTGGAGGCGACTTCCAGGATCTAACATTGTGCAAGTCATAATAACCTCCCAGTGCTGCCCACTCTGGACTTTAGATACGATCCCAGGAAAAAGAATAGAGCAGAAAAGATGAGAACAGGCTATGATGGATTTTAAACCTAAAACAGGTGGGAAAACCTGGAAATTGGACGACATGAAATTTGCTATCACAAAAATGACTAATTTGAATTACAGAAGAAACATTTTTAAATGACCTTTCTCTCAAACCTGAATTTGTTTCCTGAAAATATCATACTTACTGATGAAGTTTATAAACTTCCATATACTTGATCTATGGCACAAGTTAATCCTTTTCATGTAGTGATTGAATATTCATGAAACTGCAGCTATACTTTAATTATGATTCTCGATCAGTATCTGAAATCCAGACGAGACAGGCACCTACATATTCCCAAAGGAAGCAGTGAGAGCTATGCACCCATGAGAAAACACTAGCTAGTCTTAACAAGCTAAGCCTTAATCAATGCATCCTTAATTCAAGGTGAAAGTCACAGAAAAGCTAGTGCCCAAGCACCATGGTGGTAAAAACTCACCCGAGGATTTCAGTGAACTGCTATGATTTCCCAGTAATAATTTTTTTTCCTAAAAGGATAGACTCTTATTCCAAATACTCTGCTTCATGCAGAATAGTTAGATGAAAATAACACCACTTGAATAACAGGAAAAATCTAATGCAGAAAATTTGCTGAGAAGTTATTTCCAGCTATAATACTATATACCTATAACTCTTTTTTAAAACCAGAAAGTTTATTATATTTCTAATGACTTTGTCTTTCTAAAAGTGAACTTTCATGTAAAAAGATTATAAAATGTTAAATAATCTATGCTGCTTTATATAGCCTATGATGAAGTAAGGGGGTAAAGAGGGGTTAATTGATTAAAAATATTAGTTTTGAGTAGATGGTTACAGAGAATGTCAAAGCTTAGTTCTACTAAAAGACTCAGTGTCAATTTATACACTGTATTAAACAACATAAGTAGCATTAAAATTTAACAGCAACTCAGCATTAAGGCCTGATTTTATTGTCAATGAAGATGATAATTGGGAGGGTTTAAAATAAACTTTGCAATAAAGGAAACTATTTTGTTACTTCAAGTGCTTCTCACGATATCGTGCTTTTGCTTAAACTTGTATTTAAAATTAAATTAATCACTACTAGCCAAAAAAAATGTGGCTCAAGGATAAAAGGTGTGGGGAACATGGTTGCATATGAGTTGAAAATTAGTGATGTTACCTATATAGACTGGTACGGCTTTTTTCTCCCCACAGTCCTAGGACTAAAGATGCCAGCCCACTTATAAATTCTGAAGGAGTAGTTGAGATGTGGCAGTGGCAATTTAAAGAATGCTCAGGGTTGAAATGCAGAGACAGACAACATTATGAGCCATTAACCAAACTGCATATATTTGAGAGAAAAGACGAATAAAGAAGAGGCATAAAGAATGTTATTGGCAATTAACCATACTTCCACTTTTTACTAGACTTTAATTTGCCAACTTGCAAAATTCACACACAGGTAATGTTAAATGATTTAAATCATATTTCCTAATACTACTATAATCGCTACTACTTCTGCTAATCTACTTCAAATAACAATAATAATAGCACTTACTGAACACTTAGTATGTGCCTGACAATGTACTAATATTTTTATATAATTCTTGAGATAAACAGATGAAATATGAGCTATTATCGCTTACAGAGAAGATGGAGCCTTACTTGCCCAAGTGAAACAGCCAGCAAACAATCCTAAGTCAACCTGTTACCAATGTATAGATCTCTAAACACTACTTACTTTTACCTTACATTTTATATTATGGGTATAATTAACTCCACGTAACTGCAGGTTCCACATCTATGGATTCAATCACAGATTGAAGATATTCAGCAAAAAAAATATTTTTTAAGTATATATATATACACATAATTATATTTTATGTACTTGATAATAATGTATTATAATACAACTATATATTATTTATATTTCAGTATATGTATGTAGTAAAAATATATTCAGGAAAAGATATACATACACTCAAATACTACAACAATTAAAAAATACAAATTTAAAAAATATAGCAACTATTTGCATAACATTTACATTGTTTTAGCTATTATGTGTAATCTAGAGATGATTTAAAGTATATAGCAGGATGTGCACATTATAAGAAAATACCATGCTATTTTATATAACGGACTGAAGCTTTCTCAGGTTAGTATCCGCTGATGGCCTCTTAACCAATCCCCGAGAATACCTAGGGAGGACTGTATCTGTGTATACTACAAACCTTGTAAAGAGCAATAGAGATCTTGTCCCTCAACTCCACTCTGTGTCTTTTTTTCTCATTTCCATTTCGCCAGAATTAAAAAATATGTAACTATTATATTTTCATATATTTTAAAATAGTATGCTTCTATTACTATGTCTTATTTTTATTATTAGATAATCAATGTTACTGGCAACATTTCTTGTATTTTCTGAGTAAACAGAATATAGTATAGTGACTTTTAAGTATTCACCTTTCTCTACATTATCTGTTTCCTCCAATTTCCTTTTGTTTTTGCTGTCTTTTCAAATAGATTTTCTCTATTTTTGAATCTCTGATTGTTCATATTTAACAGTGTTGATTGTTCTATGTACAGAAGAAGCATTGTTTACTAGTGGGACTTCACAGTGGGGACATGTCACTTTGTTGAGAATTTTCTAAGATTTGGTATCTTAAACTCTTTTATATGGAGCTTCCTAGCTTCCAAAGGCTGAAATAGTGTAATACTCTTCATTGAAGGGTAAGAGGTATCTAAGTCCCAATGTTCTGGGAGGCCCTACGCTTTGGGCACAATACTTTTTGGCCAGAAGTCCCCCTTCTCATGCCTTGGACAAGCAGAGGCCAGCAGTACCATATATATAGGCTGGATGGGGAGGGCTGTGCCCAGACATTGGACCTATACTCTAGTTCTCTATTTTAGGGCACCTTTTTAACACCGTTCGTGTGCTGTCAATCAGGTATCCTGAAGAAATCCAGGACACAAGCCTGTGAGGTCATCCAAGACCCATGGCTGGCCATGGGTCCAGGACGGCAGCTTTGCAAATTAATCACTCCCACTGATCATCAAGATATTCCTATTACAGAATTATGTGAGATTGGTTCAACAGAACAGTGCCAAAATACTGACTTGGGGTGATTTTCACTCATGTCAGACATAGAATGAGACCAGATCTCTTGGCTACCAATGGTTTATCACTGACATGTGAGGTTGAACCTGTGTGTGGGCCCATGGCCTGGCCATGTTTCTATGATAGTGCTACCTATGTGCTACAGCCCCCAGTGATGATGGTGTGATGGTGTGTCAGCAGGTGTTATTTACGCACATTTTTCCAGTGCTGTCTACACCTCAGCAGAGCCTACATCACCTGTCATGCACCTCTGCCTATCTTCTCCTAAAACTTTCCAGACCATTGCTTCACAGTCCAGTGGGCCCTTCCAATTAATAGCTTCTTTTGCTTCTTTCTCATGCGATAAGGTTACACTCTCCTACTTTAATTTCAAGCCATGCTGGACAAAAAAAATAAACATTCCTTCTAATAGGGGAATGGCTCTTCTCACTGTGTTGAAGGGTCCTTCCCCTATCCTCCCTGGTGATGGTGGAAGGCAGGTGTGTTGACCACATTCTAAGAACTTAGTGATTACAGCTAAAGAAGCTCAAGAGAAGACAATTGAAAAGTGTGTTATCTTATCTGTATGTTATAAAATTCTAAATGGAAAATCTAATATGAAAAGGAAAAAAATATTCACATTTTCCTATATACTCTGGGATTTGCATTTGTGCACATCAATGAAACACAGTAGAGTATAAAAGGCTGAATAACATGTCTAGGCAGAGGGCATCTGGATAACCTCAGATAATCTTCCATGACTCCTAGAGCAGTAGCAGAGAGCAGCCAGATGCTTTCCATGTTCCCTTGTACAGAGAACAGAAGTAGCTGGGAGTAGAGTGGGTAGATTTCAAACACGAAGAGACACTGTGGTCAGAGTGGGGCAAGGAGTTGTAAGTTTTGTGAACTATATGACAGAGAGCAAGTAATAACAGAATTTTTACTGTCTCTCATCCTGAGCAGATAATAGTCATCTAATACCAAATTCCCCAATTTCCTGAGTAATTTAAAGCAACTCCCCTTGAATACAGATGTAATAGGAATGTGAGGATTACCGTGAGGATTATGTAGGAGAAAAAGGTTTAGCACCTGATTTGCCAAAGGCCACCTTGATTTCAGTGAGCTTAGAGTTTTGTTCTTGGGAAGGCGGGCTTGATAAAAGTTCAAAATCATAACAGCATGTATAACAATAATGGCAAATTTCTTGCACAACTGAGTAGGTCTGTACACAATGTAGAATCAGAAGAATGCTCTGAACCAATATATATATATATAGATGGCAGAGTTTAATTAACACAGAAAGGAGATGGGAATGGTGTTTGAATTGATGTGTGAAGAATGAGACAAGGAAATAGTTAAAAGATTACAAGTATGAGACAGGTTAGCAAGGTTCCCATGTGAATTTCTTCTGAGCTGGCCAGATTAGACATGAACAGGGAGTATCTTAGAGGTTTAGAAGTTTCTGGTAAAACTTTGAAAAATTGACATAAAAAGTGTTTCTGAAACACTGACATTAGTCCAAATTTTTATGTCACTCCCAAACTGCAGAGGGTCACACCTGCACTATTGTGGGTTATTCAGGTACACACAATAAGGTGAAAAGCTACAACGGGAACCAGGGTCCTGACTCTCAGTCACTTTGGTAAGGCAGACCACAATGACTTTACTAAATAATATATATCCTTGCTTATGCTATTTAAAGGTACCTCTAACTATTATACACATTAGGTTTCAATATTATATTTAGCATAGTCTAAATATATAATTTATTCTGCATATTGAAAACAAGTGAAAAACATTGTCTTAAATAGGGAAATAGGATGTGGTTTGCATAGAACTAAAGTCATGCATCTCATGATGTCCAATGAGAGACTAAAATATCCAGTTCCAAGCTTTGCTTAACTTTGAAATACCTCAACCCCAGAAGGATAAACAAGAAATTACTAGTTTAATGTTTCCATCTACAACATGTCTATTCAAGGTATTAACAACTATATTCTTTTAAACTGTCAATAAATCTTTTCCTTAAGAATAGAAAAACATATTACTAGAAGATGAAACACAAATTAAAGCCTTATTTCCTTTCTGCTTTTGGAGTCTTAGCAAAGAACTGTCAGGAGGTCTAACTTATCTCAAAAGAACAGGCTGATGCCAGCCACTAGGTTCTGGAGGCTTCCCCTTTTTTATAACAAGGCTGCTTCTCTCACCAGGGGGCTCCCATTACTCCCAGTCTGTAAGTATGTAAAGCACCACATGGACAGGACCGCTCCCTAGTGGCTCATTGGCCATGATGCATATGCCATCCATGTCTAGACTAAATGGTGGAATAATTATATTTCACATGATGCATGTGCTCTATTTCTCTGCTTATAGGTTTTTTTTTTCCAACAAAACTTGCATAGCACTTGTGGTATGTATCTGTGACCCCTTTGTATGAAAATATGTTCACCCATGTGATCAGTACATGAATATGCTTTGGTGTCTATCATTGTTGAGTTTAAATTATGTCATCTCAAGCTTAAATTATGTCATCTCAAACTTATCAATGGCAATCATTCCTACTGACTACTCCTATGAGAGATAACTCATTCATGCAGTATTTAGATTGTAAATTACACAAGACAAGAACTATTGATATTCAGTATGTAAATGCCCTAACTACACCACGCTAAGAATAATGCCCAGTCACTTCATTTCCGTTAAGGCACTTAATTTTGTACAGAAATGTTTGAAACAAAACTTTTACTCTAAAATATTGTACTGGAGTTCATATTGTCATATATGAAAATATCATTTGTGTGCACATTAAACTACAAACTAAACATGCAAAGTACACATAACTACCAGAAATCCAGTTTTTTGTAAAGCATATAGTTTGCATAAATTCATATATGGTTTATATGTAAATAAGTTTATAGTTTATAAAAAGTATAAACAGAAGTTTATAGTTTATAAAAAGTATAAACAGAAGTTTATAGTTTATAAAAAGTATAAACAGAAGTTTATAGTTTATAAAAAGTATAAACAGAAGTTTATAGTTTATAAAAAGTATAAACAGAAGTTTATAGTTTATAAAAAGTATAAACAGAAGTTTATAGTTTATAAAAAGTATAAACAGAAGTTTATAGTTTATAAAAAGTATAAACAGAAGTTTATAGTTTTAAATTTACACATTAAACTATTCTAGCTATCTAATACCTAGTACAACAATTGATTCAAGTACATATTAATAAAAAATACATGTACACGGAGAAATTACTTGTAGATCCATTCTCACTTGGAAGTGTTTGAGTACAGTACACAGTGGGAGTCTTGTATCATGAATTTAACATGAAATGACGACCTCCAGAAGAGTGTATTATGTATCTCAAAATTAAAAATTCCTTGAAACAATGCTTACTATCACATGACAAATGAAAACTAAAAGACAACACACACAATTTAGAACAGAAAACATCTGTTCTGTCTATTCTTCATGTAGAGTACATTACTGAAAATATAGGCCAATTAATTTCTTCTGTTAGCTTTTCACTTTGTAGGAATGACTTAGACTGCCAGATTCTACTCAAGAAACTCACTGGTAAAAGCAAGGAAACATTTTTTTTTTAGTATTTCTCTGTTAAAAAAAAAAAACAAAGACATAAAGGAGCTTAATTGTGCTCCTAAATTCAGCTCCTCTTCCTGACTTGATGTCATTGCACACGAATCTAGGCATCAGTCACTCATGCTTTAAACATCGTTGCACTTTCTGACTTCTCCATCTCATCCACAGATGGCATCCTGTAATGTTTTCTGTGAATGCCACCTCCCTTCCTTTTGTAATTGCCAGAATCCCAGCTCATGTCAGGGCCAGCAAAACCAGCTTCCAACTGCTTTCCATTTTAGATCACTTCTTGAAGGTCTATCATCTCTGCTTTACTCCATTCAAAAATTTGGTAATTATGGCCAGGCACGGTGGCTCACGCCTGTTATCCCAGCACTTTGGGATCACGAGGTCAGGAGATCCAGAGCATCCTGGCTGAAACCCTGGCTCTACTAAAAATCCAAAAAAAAAAAAAAAAAAAATAGCCAGGAGTGGTGGCGGGCGCCTGTGGTCCCAGCTACTCGGGAGGCTGAGGCAGAAGAATGGCATGAACCCGGGAGGCGGAGCTTGCAGTGAGCCGAGATCACGCCACTGCCCTCCAGCCTGGGTGACAGAGCAAGACTCCGTCTCAAAAAAAAAAAAAAAAAGTGGTAATTGCTCATACTAAGCACTGTCTGTGATGACAACCCCTAATATATGCAGCAAGTATTAACTTAGAACATTGTGTATTGCACTACTTGGCTAATAAAATTTTCACATGGTAAAACAACATAGTATATAGATGAGTTCAAAGGGTGAGATTAAGATGAAACAATATTTTAAGTTGCCTCCTAAACATGGTCACTAATTCATATTACTAGTAATTAGTAATAGTGGACCATTATACACATGCCAAATTTTCTTAATAATGCATTTTGGCTGACTTCAGACAAACTAGCTTATAGTTGTTTGCCCTCATTATGTTGGTGACCACAATTATAACAATAATTATAGTCACCAACATAATGAGAGCAATTTGTTAATTAAAGTAGTACCATTACTGTTATTTTCTTGGTGGTTACTTGTCCTTGTATTATTAGAATAATGAACTTTTTTTTTGGCAAGACATTCATCTGTTTGGGAAGATATGCTTAGTCAAAACTAGATAATATAATGTAGGAATCCGCTGAGTGGACATAAATGGCAATAAGCAGCAGTGAACTGAAAGCTAGGAGTAGAGGTACATTGTCATTCCCATATGTGGTGAAATCAAACTTCCCCAAGGATGGTTTGCTGACCATATACAATGTGGGACCATGTTTCACACAGACAAAATCCCTGTGCCATATCAATTCACATATTTACCATTAAAAATTCTGTTATTTTAATATTGTAGATTACAAATATAAATTCTAACATTTTTTTCAATATCCCAATAGTTTACCTTGTCCAAACCTTGGCTATGTGCACAACACTGAAGAAATTACAATTCTTTTATAAAAGTTTATTGTTTTTACCAATATTAATTCTTAATTTCAACATTTATTTTAGATTCAATTCACAGGGTACATGTGCAGATTTGTGATCTGGTTATACTGCATGATGCTGTGGTTTTGGGTACTATTCATCCCATCACCCAGCTACTGAGCATAGTGCCCAAAAGTTAGTTTTCCATTTCCAACCACAGTAGTTAGTTTTCTTTCCCTCCCCACCACCAGTAGTCCCCAATGTCTATTGTTTCCATCTTTATGTCCATGTGTACTCAGTGTTTGGGTCCCACTTATAAGTGAGAACATGCGGTATTTGATTTTCTGTTCCTGCCCTAATTCACTTAGGCTAGTGTCTTCCAGCTGCATCCATGTTGCTGCAAAGAACATGATTTCATCCTTTTTTATGGCTGCATAGTATTCTGTGGTATACATATAAAACACATTTTCTTTGTCCAGTCCACTGTGGATGGACACCTATGTTGATTCCATGTCTTTGCTATTGTGAATAGTGCTGCGATGAACATGCAAGTACATATTTCTTTTTTTTTTTTTTGAAACGGAGTCTCACTCTGTCGCCCAGGCTGGAGTGCAGTTGCATGATCTTGGCTCACTGCAACCTCCGCCCCTCCAGGTTTAAGCAATTCTGTGCCTCAGCCTCCTGAGTAGCTGGGACGACAGACACCCACCACCACGCCTGGCTAATTTTTTGTATTTTTAGTAGAGACAGGGTTTCACCATCTTGGCCAGGCTGGTCTTGAACTCCTGACCATGTAAGAATGATGTATTTTCTTTTGGAGATATATCCGCTAAGGGGATTGCTGTGTCAAATGATAGTTTGGTTTTAAGTTCTTTGAGAAATCTCTGACTTGCTTTTAACAGTGGCTAATTTGCACTCCCACCAATAGTATATAAGTGTTTCCTTTTCTCCACAGCTTTGCCAGCATCTGCTGTTTTTTTTTTTTTTTTTTTTTTGACTTTTTTTTTTTTGAGACAAGGTCTTGCTCTATCACCCAAGTTGAAGTGCAGTGGCATGATCATGGTTCACAGCAGCCTCAACTTCCCAGGCTCAAATGATCTTCTCGCTTCAGGGACAAAAGTGGGCATCCTTGTCTTAGTCCAGTTCTCAAGGGGAATGCTTCTAGCTTTTGCCCATTCAATATGATATTGGCTGTGGGTTTGTCATGGGTGGCCCTTACTATTATGAAGTATGTTCCTTTGATACCAAGTTTGTTGATGGATCTTATTATGGAGGGATGTTGGATTTTATTGGATTTTTCTGTGTCTATTGAGATCATCCTATGGTTTTTGCTTTTAATTCTGTTTAAGTGGTAAATCTAATTTATTAATTTGTATATGATGAACCATCCTTGCGTCTGAGGAATGAAGCCTATTTTAACATGGTGATTTAACTTTTTGATATGCTGCTGGATTTGGTTTGCTAGTGTTTTGAGGATTTCTGCATCCACATTACTCAGGGATATTGACTTGTAATTTTCCTTTTTTTATTGTGTCTTTGCCAGGTTTTGGTATTGAGCTGATGCTGGCTTTGTGAAATGAGTTAGGGAGGGGTACCTCCTCCTCAATTTTTTGGAAGAGTTTGAGTAGAATTGATATCAGCCCCTTTGTATGTCTGGTAGTGTTAGGCTGTGAGTCCATTTAGTGTGGGGCTATTTTGGTTAGTAGGTTTTGTATTAGAGATTCAAATTTGAAACTCAATACTGGTCTGTTCAGGGTTTCAATTTTTTCTTAGATGCCATCTTGAGATAGTGTGCGTTTCCAGGAATTTACCCATTTCCTCTATATTAAAAATTGCAATTTTAAAGCACCAGTCTACTCAGATCCCTCTACTTCCTAAAAAAATAAAAATAAGAAAATAGAGAGATTCTCCAACTGCTTTACCAAATTATTTTCACATTCAAGATTGTTCACATAATTCAAACTTATATTTTCAAATATGTACCCTTTGTTTTAATCACTTGGAAATACATGTATTTCTCAAATACATATATTATTCAACCTATAGGTTTCTGTTCAAGCTATACCTTCCATCTAAATTATTACTCCAAATCCAATTTCCACTAATTCAAAATGCCTCCTATTAAGAATCATCTCAAATATTATCCGAATCAACATTTTCTAGATTTGTTAAATGTATTAATTTCCAATTTAAATTTCAGTTTGGCTATATTTGTCTCTGAGCACTGATTGAAAGACAGTTTGGATTAACGCTGAGCATGAGCGCTCTGTCAGCCTTAGGCACGATGGAGTTGACAGGTGAAATGAGTTGGGATCTTTTTCTGGCCCCTATTAGAGCTGAGTCAGAAAAGGGTTGAAGGTCAATACCAGGAGCCCTTGGTTCAGAATTTCTGTAATGATGTGCCTTCAAAATACTGGTGCTCAGTGAACTGGACTCAAGTATGCCTGCTGATAAAACTGAATAATGGTGGTTTCTTCTCTGAATTATAAAATATATGTATTTTCCTTAACTTTAAGCTCTTATTTTCTTCCCCACAGATATTTTTTAAACCTTTGGTTCCACAATGTTACATGTACTAGAAAAGATGATTTCTTCCTCATTTTTTTTAGTAACTTAAGGTTGAAAATAGTTGTATGTCATTGTATTTCCTGAAGTGCACTATGATTTCTAGACATGAACACCTGTGACAGCCTATATTCTACAATAGTATCTTTCAACATTTTTCTATACATGAACATGTATAGAAACATGTTTTAGGCATTGTGGGCCACAGGGTGTCTACGCTCCAATGCTGTAAGTCATACATAAGCAAATGAGCTGACCGTATTTCAGTACATCTTCATTCAGACTTTGAAGTATTAGCAATACTCTTCACATGTCAAGAAATATTCATTATATTTTTTCCAATCATTTAAAAGGCTAGGTACAGCTAGCCTCAGCTCAAAGACTGTGCAAAAACAGGCAGTGGCCTAAATTTAAAGCATTGCATTTAGTTTGCAAACTGCTGTGCCGGGTTATCAATTTTCAGATTGTGTTCTGTACTTCTGCCCTATGCACTAATTTGCAGAGAAAATTGGAAGTCAAGAGGGTAAGACGTCCTATCAGAGCATTAATACTTTTATTTGATTTTGTAATTTCGTGGATCCATGTAAGATTTTAGGTGGAAATAGGGTCCTATTAATTTTTTTCCTTTAGTTTTTTTTGGGGGGGAGTAGGGCAGAAACTATATTTCCAAAAGAAGAGAAACAACATAGGGATCGGAATAGGGTGAAGCCAAAAGCATAAATAAGAAATGAGAATAGGAGCTCCAACCACATTCTACCGAAATGGACAAAGGATGAATACATAAGTCCTAAGCCTATAGAGGAAGCAGAAATTCTTGGGGGCAAGAAGCCAACTCTAGTTCTAAGGCATTCAAAGAGAAGATGAGATATGAAAAAAATAGATGAAATATGAGGGTCATAAAGGGTAAAAGTTTGAGAAACAAAAATAATGGCCTTGAAGATGAGAATAGTTGAATTCGTTAGGCATAGTTGGTTCAGTCAGAGTAGCTGGGCTAATTGAAGAAAGGAATGTGCATCTGAAAGAAGAGTGGCATTACTTGAAAGAGAAGCTTAGTTCACCACAGTATCTTGTTTAACTGAAGTAGCTAGGACAGCTGGAGAGACCTATGATAGAGTAGATGGGCCAGACAGAATAAGTGATTAGAGAAGCTGGGTATGGCAAAGTAGCTATAGTAGCAGGAGTAACTGGGTAAACTGAAGTAGCTGAAGGAGTACCTGAAATATCTGTATAATAGTTGTTGCAATTGCCTAGGAGTCATTTTATGAAAATAAACTTTTTGGTCAAAAAGTGAAAAAGGATCCATTAAAAAAAAAAATAGGAATCCAAACCTTTCCATGCTTGGTTTCAAACGGACTAAATTCTGGCATTTGGAAAATCTTTACTGCAATTCAATCTACAAAGACAATAAGCTCTTTGTATGCAAGCTGAAGTTTATTAATTATTATGTATTAATATTGGTGAGTATAACATATTGTAAAGCGACCAAACTGTTAGAACAATGTAAAGAAATCTTGTGCAAAAGGGTCCAATGTGATGCTGAACAAAAACTGCTAAGGACATCCGTTATTACAGTAATCAAATTGTAAGACTGAAATGGAATAAAAGATCCAGTTTTCCTACTTTTGTTCATATGGATAAGGATAATACTAAATGGCTATGAATCTTAGTTTCAAAATCTCCCTTACTTCCAATATGTTATAGGAAATATTCTCAAAGGTGATACATAAAAAGAGATACAGTTTGAATTTATAGGAGCAATTTGAATATCCTTTTATTTTCTAAATACTAACTGTGGTTTTTACAAGCTGGTAAAATCTACGAAATTACCATGTCTATTGTAATATAGTTGGAGATATCTTGGCTGAAGAATTGCTAAGTGACACACAGGAGAATCTCTTTTCTATTTGTGGTTAAAGGGAAGACAAAACACAAAACAAATCCACTGAATGCTTACTGGATTTTAAATCCTTAAAAACACTTTTTGAGTAAAAAAACTGAGAATCTCTGAATTCTAAAAATACATTTACTCTCTTAAAAATGCAAGGCCTGTTTATCAGGAGTTCGAGAGCAGCTTGACCAACATGGTGAAACCCTGTCTCTACTAAAAATACAAAAATTAGCCAGGCGTCGTGGCACGCGCCTGTAATCCCAGCTACTCAAGCTACTCAGGAGACTGAGGCAGGAGAATGGCTTGAACCCGGGAGGCTGAGGTTGCAGTGAGCCAAGATTGCGCCACTGCACTCCAGTCTGTGCGACAGAGTAAGACTCCATATCAAAAAAAAAAAAAAAAAGTATATATATATATATATATATATATATATATATATATATATATATATTCTCTTTCAAAGGTCAGTGAGCACATAAGACTGACAGCTTTTAAGAGTGTTTCCATAGCTCATCTTCCAGTGGACTCTATTATGTCTCCTTAATATAGGCTAAAATGCAAAATAATAGTTTGTGATCATATTTTGGCTTTAGATTATTTGCCCTAAGGCTTAGATCAAGATGCAAAGCCAAGTCATTGAACCTAAGGTGAGATTTTTACCTTTGAGGTAACTACAGCAATTAACACCTCTACTGTTATTTTTAAAAATTGCCTAAACAGGACACCACAAAAATGTATATGTAACTCCTGCAAATGGAAGCATTCTTATGCATTTTCATCGAAATGCTATGTGATGTAAAAGGAAGTCATGCTGCAGTCTCAGAGTCCAATTTAGTTTTTGACCAGGTGTTGTATTGAAAAATTATCCTTGAAAAAAATGAATGCTTCTTTCACAGATGCTTTTAAACAATGGAATATGCTCACACCTGGGGAGACAATGAAAGACAAACCTTAACTGATATTGCAATTTTTTGGGTGATGATCAAAATACATGAAACTGGTAGCTTCCAACTTACAAAATTCCCTTGTGTATCACCAGTCTCCTTCCTCTTCTTTAGGCACACAATTCCCATTTCAACACCTGTCTTCATCTCACCCCTGCCAGAATGGCCATAATCAAAAAAATAAACAAAACAGATGTTGGCACGAATGTGGTGAAAAGGGAACACTTTTGCACTGTCGGTGGGAATGTAAAAATAAGTACAACCACTACGGAAAACAGTGTGGAGATTCCTTAAAGAAATCTAGATCTACCATTTGATCCAGCAATTCCACTACTAGGTATCTACCCAGAAGGAAAGAAGTCATTATATGAAAAAGATATGTGGACACACATGTCTATAGAAGCACAATTTGCAATTGCAAAAATAAAGAACCAGCCCAAATGTCCATCAATCAACAAATGGATAAAAAAAAGTAATACACACACACACACACCCACACACACTCACACCATAGAATATTACTCATCCATAAAAAGAAATGAAATAATGGCATTCACATCAACCTGGATGGAACTGGAAGACTATGATTCTAAGTGAATTCACTCAGGAATGGAAAACCAAACATCTTATGTTCTCACTCATAAGTAGGAGCTACTACGTTATGAGGACAGGCATAAGAATGACACATTGGACTTTGGGGACTCTGGGAAAGAAGGGGGAGGAGGAATAAAAGAGTGCACATTGGGTAAAGTATACACTGCTCGGCGATAGGTGCACTGAAATCTCTGAAATCACCACTAAAGAACTTATGTAACCAAACACCACCTGTTCCCCAAAAACCTATTGAAATAAAAAAAATAAAAATAACAAAAACAAGAATTGCTATAAATGAAATGGTAAAGTCGGAAAAAGAGAAAACTAGGAGATTTGTGGATTCAGAAGTAGAGGTTAGTATTGCAGGTGGGACTGGGTGAGGTCAGCAATGTGGGCGGTAAAAGGAATTTACCAAAACAGTTGTACTCAAAGAGATATGTTGCGAGAGTGCAACAGGCAGCACAGCAGGGAAGGTGCTGTCTGCAAAGAGGCAGGGGTTAACCGGAAGTTTTATAGGGTCATGTTGAAGGGGCTATGTACAGAATGAGGTCAAGGTTGTGCTGCTGGAGCTTCATGTGCCACAAGGTATTCGGCAACAGGAGGTTGTGCCAGTAGTTTGTGATTAGCCATCTCTCAGAACAATTGTTCTACCCGACCTGGGGCCCCTTCCTTGTTTTTGCCTACTTATCAGGACTCCACAGTGGAAAATAAAACAAAACAAATAATTTCGTTATGCCAAATATGTCAACATTCTGCCCAGGAAAATCCTTCCTCACAATTGAGAAATTTCTCTTTTCATTTAATGACATTTCCTGAGGGTCTGCTCATTAGACTTATCTCACTTAAACATAGTTCTTACTATTTAAAAATGGAATGAAGCCAGATAAATTGTTGTACATCAGTCATTCACTTATTTGTAGACAACATTTCAATAGATGACTATATTTTGCCAAGTTGAGATGCCCTAAAATTGCTTCAATTTTAGCGTATGTGTTTCAGATGAGGGGCATCATCTCTTGTTACTTAAATGGGCTTTTGGCCTTAGAGATGACAAATTTGGATAGAATAGTAGGACTGAAGGTTTAAAACAGTTGTTCTCAAAGTGTGGCTCTGGGCCAACAGCATGAGCATCAATTGGGAACTTGTTAAAAATGCAAATTACTGAGCCCCACCTTAATATATCACAACAATTTGTGAACCTACTATCTCAAAATGGAATCACTCATGTCAAGAAGCATTGAGCCCACAGTGACCCCCTCAAAGTGATAAACATATAAGTAATAGACTGAGTTAGGAAAGTAACACCTGCTTTTGCTGTGTACCATGGGAGACTTGAAAGGAACTGACAAAAGTGAAAGGTGGCTGAGTTAATGAAAATACACCCATCTGGGAGAATCATAAAAGTCAGGACAAGGCCTTTTTTTGAGAGGCCTTAGGAGGGTCTGCCCAGGAGAACTCCGAGAGCTTCTCTCATCTTGACAGCTGCCACTAGAACTTCTACTTGGGAGAAACAGTGACCTCCTACTACCACCAGTATCTTAAGGCTTTCTGGACCCACTCGATTAATCTATTGGTGTGTTGGTCCCTTGAGCCACTGCTGTGGTTTATTAGCACTCTGTTATTATTGGCTGTGTGTTGAGTATTAATTGCATGATTGATTGTGTGTGAAAGCCTCACAATAAACTGCAAATTGAAGTATATATAATTGGCTATTGAGCCACTGTGAAACCTTACTGAGTAAGCACACCTAGGTGCCCGAACCTAATGGACATATCAATTGGCATAGTGGGTAACACATCCAGACCTATTGAATCCAAAATTCTGAGTGTTGGGGGGAGTAGAAACTGGAGTATAGCAAGCCTTGCAGGCGATTCACATGCTTATTTTTAAAAAGCACTAGTTTAGGGCAGCTTGAGAGCGCCAGTAGACTTAAAAAAAAAAAAAAAAAGCCCACTAGAAGATGGTTATGAATACAGAAAGCAGAAAAGGGTCAGCTTCCATTATTTCAAAAATGTGCCACAGATTCATCAGGATATCAGCATATCCTAGCATGCCACACGATATTCTCCTTTGAGATTGTTATAGGATCCAAGAGGGTTAACTGAAGCAAATAGAGTGCTCTGATATAATATCCATCTCTGCTCTGACCACCGGAGTGTGCTATGTTGAGCCTACACCAGATCTTGCTCTCTCCTTGTCATGCCCAAATTATACTGTTCTCCACTACAAAGATTAGAGTCAGAGACGTTGCCAGCAGCTGTGGTATGGTCATTAAAACTCCTGCAGTCCTGCAGTGTCCTGGGGCTTCATCTCAGATGCGTGGTCTTGAGTATCTCCATCCCTTCAATTTTCATAATTACCTCACCTAAAGTCTATACTTTTGGCCTCATTGTGTCTTAGGCCAGAATTAGAGACAAATTCTCTCCTTGACTCTGAACTTTGTTTCTAGAACTCACTCAACTTCACTTCTTCAGCCCATGGGTAATTGAGGCCTTTACTCTGTTCTTGCCTCTTTGGATCTCTTCCGCTATGGCAGTTTTCTTTTCTTAATCAAAATAACTTCATTGAGTCCATTGCAGCCAACCAGGCATGGCCAAGATGTCATTCTCTCCATAGGTTCTCCACTCAGCTTTTACCTCTAGCTTCCCCAGCCCCCATCCTATCCTACCTATTACTCATCACCCTTTTAGTAACTACAGATAGTTTATTTCTAGACCAAGCACTAGCCCATTTCTATAGGAATTAGCTGATCTCTCCCATCTATCAGCTAATCTAACTGTCTATTCAAATGTGTACTGGTACCACCCTTATTGCCCTTATTGATATTAATACTTATAGCCAAGGATAATTATCTCAAAACAATTAGGTAATCTTAAAAAAAAATTGTCTTGTCTTCCTTTACTTCCCTGAATACACACATAGTATACTATACTATGGCATGCATATTCCCATTGCAATGCCTACTCCCAAATAAACATCATTTTCTTGTAGAGACTTTTCCTGTTATTTAGGTTGACAATAATGTAATTACTTATTTAATCACAACTATAATATATGCTATGAGGAGGAAATGTGAGATGTAATGAAAGCTAAAAGAGAAAGCACCGAGCCATATTTAGCCTCCAGGAAAGCTTCCATGAAAGTGAGAGTTAAGCTGAGACATCTAAAACATGAGTGGAAGTTGCCTGGGCAGGGGTGAGTATTGGGTAGGAGGTGTGGTATTCCAAACAGATGGAAGAACTTGTGCAAAGACTCTGAAGCAGAAATTAGCTTCCTGCCTTCACGGCACCAAAAGAAGGGTCAGAATGTAGAGACTGAGAAGGAAAGTGGAAAGAGATGATATGATATTTAAAGGCAAGGAGGATATCATGTATGAATTTATAGACCATGGACAGGTTTTAATATTTATTCCAGTGTAGCTGGGAATCATCTACTCCTTGCTATTCAAAGTACCATGCATGGAGTAATAGCACTGGCATCATCTGGGAATTTGCGAGAAATATAGAATCTCAGACTCCATCCCAGAGTTGCTAAACCAAGATCACTTTAGCAATATTCCCAAGTGGCTTCAATGCATATTAAAATATTAGAAACAAAAGATTTAAGCATGGGAGTAACATCACTTAATTTAGATTTTGTTAAGATAGTAGCTGTATGGACCACAGACTTGGCAGGGGGTGGGAAAACAGTATATTAGGAAAGATAATCAAGAGTTTATTACATTAATTCAACAGAAAGATAATGTTATCATGGACTAGAGAGGTGTCGGCAGAAGTGATGGGTTTAAAATATATTAAAGAAGTTAATTTCAGGACCTTTGATTTACAAGGAAAGATGAGGCTGAATGACTGTCATTCCAAGGTTTCTCATTTGATGATTGGATAAACAATGTTATCACTGACAAGAGATACTACTAAAGGAACTGATTTGGGGAGAAATGTCATGAATTTACTAGTGGACGATGTCAGCTGTATACAAAATGCCATCTTACAAAAAGAAAAAAAAAATCTGGCTGGGTGCGTTGGCTCATGCCTGTAATCCCAGCTACTCTGGAGGCTGAGGCAAGAGAATCACTTGAACCCAGGAGGCAGAGGTTGCAGAGAGCCGAGTTCGAACCACTGCACCCCCACCTGGGTGACAGAGCAAGACTCCATCTCAAGAAAAAAAAAGAAAGAAAAAAAAAAGAAAAAGAATGTAATATTTAAAGATGATTTTACTGTGTAAAAAGTGGTGTTCCATTTATTATCTTAGCGCTTTGTGTTATCATCTCAATGAATTACTGTTAGTTACAAATTTGATTAGCCCTATAGAAATCAAATGCACCCACCTGACCAACACCGTAAAACCCCGTCTCTACTACAAATACAAAAATTAGCCGGGCATGGTGGCAGGCACCTGTAATCCCAGCTACTCAGGAGGCTGAGGCAGGAGAATCACTTGAACCCAGGAGATGGAGGTTGCGGTGAGCCAAGATCGTGCCATTGCACTCTAGCCTAGGTGACAGAACAAGACTCCCATCTCAAAAAAAAAAAAAAAAAATCAAATGGATCTATTAGAGTAGTAAAGTTGTAAATAGCTCCCAAATCTTCTGACTCTAAGTTTTTTGCATTTCTATTATGCTATCCTACCAGCACTACGAGGATTTAGCCATAGTACTGTAATAGCAGAGGAGTTGTCAGTGGTTGTCTGAGGAGTACCATGGTTTCACCAGTTAACAGTACTGGTGGGGATCTCATGGGGATTCTGCAGGGGACCAGAGAAATGATGTGATTGAGGTTGGTTAGCCACTACCTTGTTTCAATAAGAACAGAACAGCTTATCTGTTTTCAAGTTAAATCATTCAGAGAAATGATTTAACACTTTAAAAGCTATTTCAAAACTACTGCAATAAATACTGCCAAAAGAGGCATGAAGTAGTTAAGTAGTTTTCATATACCAAGGATCTTGCTAGGTGCTGGAAATAGAGTAGATCAACAAGAACTTTATCTATCTGTAACTTTTAATTAAGTAAAGGAAGCTGAAAATATAAAATAAATAAAACTAAATAAAGTAATTGCTGATAGTTGTAAGTACTATAGACAAAAAGAAAGGAGACGAAACAGAAGAGTGTTGTAATAAAGAATTACTTTGAGTAGGGAAGTGGTCTGGGAAGTCGTCCAGAAGGAGTTCAAGATCTGAAGGATGAGATTCAACGGCGAGCCAGGGTAAGAACTTTCCTTCAAGGAGAAGAGCAAATGCCAAGGTGCAAAGAAGCAAGAGTTCTGGGAGCAGGCAGATCAGTCAAAGGGCTATTGCCAAAACAAAGAGGGTGCTCACCTAAACTGGGATGCTGGCAATGAAGACAGAGCAAAGTGGATACCTCTATGCTTTAGACAGAACTGACAAGATGCACTGATGAAGATGACATCCACGTAGAGAGGCTGAGTTGGGCACATAATCTCAATCAAACTCAGGAGCTAGGTCAGGCCTGGCAATGTAACAAATAGACGATGTTTAGAATCCATGAAATTGGATGAGGCATCTAGTGACAGAGTTTGGCTAAAAAAAAAAGAAGAGGCCCAGAAATAAGCACTGAGTTACTCCACAGTTTTGAGTAAAAGCAGAAGAGAAACTAGCATAAATAAATAAAGCCATGGAAAACAATTTTATTTTCTGAGACATTCATATATAGCATGTGTTCCTTTTTAATTAATGAACAGTGGATTTTATAATTATTTAGTACTATTTCAAAACTTGAAACAGGTAATACAGAATCTTATCATTAAGAGACTTTTAAAACTTCTAAAATATGTAACTGTTATCAACTTTCCAGTTTGTATATGCCTTATACGACAGTATAGTTGTATAATCTATTGCATAGTTGTTATTTCATGTCATGTACTTAAAATTATTTCCTGATTGTAATAATCAACATGATATTTCTAAAACTACAATTTATCTGACAATATTACATGAGTAAAGATATTTTAAAGACACTGTACTTTATCTTTTTAATTGTATTTTGAAAATATTAAATATTTCATAATTTATAGTAATTTTTTTCATAATTTATAGTAAATTTATTCATATCCATTATTTTAGCTTTACTGTTAATCACTTACTTTTAAGATAATTTTTATGTTATAAAAATGCAATAAGTACACAAGAATAAAAACAGAAAAGTAACCAACATTGCACGTGAAGACGGACATTGGGCAAAGAACTGTTGCAATAGTGTAGGGTTGTAAACGTTACCAAAGAGCAAGGGAGAGAGCTAACGCCTAGAATGAGAAAAGAGAAGTACAGTGCTCATAGCAGCTATCTAACATGTGAAAAAAGACTGTCACAAGTACTGAAACTTCCATCACTAACAATTACCAACCCAGCAATTTCAGAAGTATTAAGAATATTAGAAGGGGAACAAATTACCTAAGAGTGAATACAAACGGAACAAAACAAAACAGGGTACTAATTGTCCAGATATGCTTTCTTGAAATACATTCTTTTTATTTTGTGCTTGAAGGAAAATATTTTCATGTATAATGTATATCACCCCAAAATCTAGTATCAGAAATACAGAAGATTGAATATTATAAAATTGAAATAATAGGAGTACATGACAAAATTATCTTACATGATTCTATAGTTTGTTTTGATTGATAAATTTCTTATTACTGGAATAAAATTACTAACACTTTTTATTTAAATGTGTACTTAGCACTCATAAGTTCAGTGCTAATAGAATAATTTTAGGTTATGTGATTGCTAGTTGGCCAATTTACTTTGCTAAGTTGGAGAAGGAAAAAAAAACACAATAAAACATGTTGATTTCACTTTAGGACATTATGTCTGACAACATTCTTTCATAATGGAAATAAACTGAAAAAAATTATTGATGCTTTTTCAACAGAGCAAAAATGACTATTTTTCTTTTTCTTTCTTTCTTTTTTTTTTTTCTTTTTCTTTTTGAGAAGGAGTTTCGCTGTTGTTGCCTAGGCTGGAGTGCAATGGCATGATCTTGGCTCACTGCAACCTCTGCCTCCCAAGTTCAAGTGATTCTCCTGCCTCAGCCTCCCAAGTAGCTGGGATTACCAGCATGCACCACCACGCTGGCTAATTTTGTATTTTCAGTAGAGATGGGGTTTCACCATGTTGGTCAAGCTGGTCTCGAACTCCTGACCTCAGGTGATCCACCCACCTCGGCCTCCCAAAGTGCTGGGATCACAGGTGTGAGCCACCACACCCAGCCAAAAATGACTATTTTTCAAAGCGATCCTTCGTTTGCGGATATGTGTATTATGAGTTCCCAAACATTTCAAACCATGTACAACTGAAAAGGGAAGCTACAGACACTAGTTGCAGCTTCTCCCTGGAACATCGCTTTGTAAACTTCAAGACAAATTGAAAGCCTGAAATTTACAATTTTGTTTCTCATACTTTTCAAATAACTTAGTGAGACCCAAAGTAAGAAAACCTCCCAGAGTAGCTAATGATAGAAGCGCAGCATAACGTGAAAAATGGCAGGATTGTTTGTGTTAAAGTTCATAGTTCACTAAAATCTTATAAAACTTTGTTAACTTATTTTTAATGTAAATTCCAGAATTTTAGTGCTTACATAATATTTAGTGTTATATATGTATGTGTGTGTGTGTGTGTATATATATATATATATATATATATTTTTTTTAATGAATCAGAACCTCTCATCTAGTGCTTGGAAAAAAATGGAACAGTCAACTTTTTTAAAAAAATAAGTTCTAATGTGAAACTATTTCAGTGTATTATTATAGTGATTTGCAATAGAACCTAGAGAACATATTTGTAACACTGGTTTCATAGGCAATATGATTATTAGTACCAATTATCAGTCTAATTAGTACCAATGATCAGTCTAATACATAAACATTAGTAATATAACCTGTTTGTATTTTGGAGGGCTTTAGAACTTTTCAAGAGTTTAGTAATGTGTTTATATGCATTAATTTAAAAAAATCAGTAGATATATACAGAAAAAGAGGTAAATAACTGAAAAAATAAAATAAGACAGATGAGAGAAATGCTGTAATACTTAAGTGGGTTGGAAGAACAACAGAAAGCCAACTTCAAGAACACAAACGTTTTTCCACCATATGGAAGACACATAATTTCTCAGCCATATGGAAGAGATAACAAGAGAAAAATGTTTAATATATGTTGGGGAAAAAAAAGAGAAAGTTAGATTAAATGTTTACAGAAATTCCTCTTATAAGACTGCCCCAACTTACTAGGGTACATACAATTTCTTTGGAGCTATTTAAGAAATGTAGGAAGAATCATCTCAAATTGGAAGGTAAAAATGTGTGTAGATAAATACTTTTCTTTCAATTCTTCTATGTTATTGTTTTGATTGTTTCCTTTCAGATCCCAAAACTATTATAAATGAATTACGAGAATTTAGTAATTTCTGCTTCAGTAGTCATAATTTTTACTTATTTTGATTAATGCCCATTAGTCATCATTCATCCTCTGTAAAATTAAACACATATAGAGAACACAATGCTTCTTAAATATTGTATATCACATTTTTTTCCAAAGATGTAATATAGAAAGAAAACTTCCATTTTATTTACAAAAAAATCACATGAAATATACTGAATAATTTGTTTGAAATCAGCAGTTAAATTATTGTGTAATGTTTACTTGTGAAACAAGGATTAAATAGTAGTTCCATCATTGTGCTACAACTAATTAAAAATGTCATTCAAGAGGCTTTCAGAGTGAATTATTGATCTAATAAATATATTTTAAGAGACATTCATAAATAATGCTTGGAATACTCATAGCATACCAGATAAGGTATTTCAGTAATGGTTTTAGGTATGTTTTTCTTTTCTTTTTTTTTTTTTTTTTTTTTTGCTTTTTTTGTTGTTGCTAGGGTGACCTTTACTTTCTATTACCATTAGTAAACATTCTGAGTATCAATCTCAGATGGGTCTCTAGAAGTGATACATTTCAATGAGTCATAAAGGCTGCATTTGTTCAAATCAACTTTAAAACCACAATAAGTCTTTAAATTAGCCAGGCGTGGTGGTGTGTGCCTGTACTCCCAGCTACTCCAAAGGCTAAGGCAGGAGAATTACTTGAACCCAGGAGGCGGAGGTTGCAGTGAGCCAAGATCATGCCACTGAACTCCAGCCTGGGCAACAGAGTGAGACTCTGTCTCAAAACAAAAATATTACAAATTTTGAATTTGAAGAAACAATGAGAGGGTGTGATAAAAGGAAAGCATGATAAAATAGGAAAAAATTAAAACCGTGAATCTATATAGGAATGACCTTTTACTTTTTTTGGAATCAAGTTATTTCTTGGAGAAGCATATATGTGATCTGTTATGATTGTACTGATTATAATTTTTAAGTTATCTTTTCAATTGAAACCATTTTCAACTTTTAGAGCAAATAAATTGATTCTAAGTTCAAATATAAACAATTTAAAAGCAAAAGCTTTTGTCATTTATCAAATTAAAATAATGATTAATTTGCTTGCACATAAAACTACCTCAAATCTCATACATTAGCCATAGGGTAATATTTGGAAGAATAGCTCAGGTAACTAACAAAACCTGATTCATATGTCAAGTTAACAAACATTGACAAGAAGGAATGCCAAAGGGGATTAGTTGATCTCAGTGGTTCAAAATTTGTAGCCTTTTATTCTCTCATTGCTTTTAGGAAAATACATCAACAACAAATTATTTGGGGAAAAATGTGTCACAAATTAAACAATCATAAAGAAATGAGATCTGTAAGATTTAGAGTGAGAGCTGCTCATGAGTGATGAATTTTTTAAATTATAGTTCCTCAATTTTAGGCTCAAATTGTGGGAAAAAAATCATGAAAGGGGAGAAATAATGTTCATCATTTGAGTAAAAGGGAATTTGCACATGAGGCTACATATTTAGAGCCCTCAAATGAATTAATAAATGCATTTTTTATTGTTTTGCAGGATCAAGAGTTGTCAAGAAAATAAGGACTTGCAGCTATCTATATTTTTCAATACAAAATTTTTGTTAGCAATATTTAAAGAAACAATATTGTAATTAAATATCCTTTATGCTGGCTATCAATTTTTATATATATTTTACTGGCAAAAGTATGTCTTTGTCTGGCAGAGCTAAAAAAGAAAACACAAACCTGGGAAATTAATAATTTTGAAAATACCTTAAGGTTGGATAACATAATTTGAAATCCCACCATTTAGCCTTAAGGGCTTGGAAGAAATCACAAAACTGAGTTTCTATATATCAGAACAATGATCAAATAATCAAACATTGCCATAAGGGTTGCCTATATTATTATTTATGTAGTTTGTCTACAAATCAATCTCCAACTTATTAGTCAATAATTATATTCAGATGTCTTTTTCCCCATTTTCAATAGCAGTAAAGATAATGAAAAAATTAATACATAAAAATGTTTAAGAATCACATAAGGAGTCATTTGAAGACTTATTTTTGACAATACGTTTGCCTTCTTCAAAAAGAGAAATGCATAACACGAAGCATTTAGGAAAATAAATAAGAACATAGAGAACAATGACAAGTCCAACAGTAAAATGAAATGTATTTAGAAGGTTTCCCTCCACTGGAGAAAACTACTTACACAATAATTCATCAATCATGATGAGAATTAGTTACAAGTTTCTCTTAGCTGATGTCTCACCTAAAATACATGAATTTCATTTAATCTACTTAAATACGACATTTTTATTTGAAAAGCTATACACACTCACAACATGGAGTGAAGTTCAAGTAAGATTATTCCAAATTTCTAATAATTCAAAATTGTATTGATGTTTCATCTAAATAAATCTTAGTGTGTTATACTGGAATTTGAGTATAGCCATAATTAGTCAAATTATCTCTGAATCTGGTAATAATTTATTTTGTCAGGTGTAAATTCTTTTAAGTTATTTTTCAAATTTATTCATTATTTAGCAACCTTCAAGTCATATCAGAGTATTAAACATATTTCTACAAAACACCTAGTAGGTATTTTGCCCATAACAAAAGGCAAATTGGAATTAAGTTCCTAGGGACATATGAAAACAATTTTATAATACTTATATGCACCTTGTACAGTATTATAACCGCATATTTCTTAACATTCTGCTTTCCAGTAATTCACCTTAATTTAATAAAACTAATACCAAACTGTGCTGGAAGGCTTTCTTAGGAATGATATCACTGTAAGTTTATTCATTTCATCCCTTTAACATAAATATATATCACTTAAATATAAATTGTATTAAATTGGGCATTTGTTTAACAAAAATATAACTGAAATATCCTCTAGTTAGCAGAAGTAGAATTTATTGCATGACAACAATCCAGAGTGTGATCAGGACATTAAAAAAATAGGCAACCAAGGCAGACCCTCACCGCTACCAGCTCACCTTCTAAAGATGATTTGGCACACTTCTGAGCCTGTGTCCCTATGGAGCGGGTCTAGAAGGCTGTAAAATATTATGTCTTTTACACAGCGTGCAGCTAACTGGTTCAGAAACGAAGTAAAGACAAAGTAATAAAAGTAGAATGCTAGTCTTTAAAAAGCAGTTCTTAGTAATGCTTCCCTTTGGCAATTTTTAGGTTTTTACTTTAAATTTAACAGTTAAGTGTATAAAGACATAATTTTGTGTATAGCATGTAGCACATGAGAGCTTTCTTTGCAGTCGAGTCTCCTTAGAGAATTTACAGAATCTTCTTCAGTCAATTGCAATTCTTATGTTCCACATGGTTACAACACTTTTATTTCATTAACACCTAATTTACAAGCACAAACCATTCTAAATGTATCAGAACAGATGTAGGAAATAATTATAATTTAGATTGAAATTTTCATCTCCTAGTCACATAATTTTAACCCATCTATCTTAAGAAAAAAAAATCAAGAGGATTCTAAAAAGATTAAAAAGCTCTCCAATTTAAATAAAGAGGTGCCAAATTTAAGTTTTTATTTTCTTTCAATTTACCTGTTACTGCTCAGATGTACCATACCTGCTGTATCGAGCTGCATGGTTATAATGGTGCATATGCTGCATTGATATGACAATCTGCACCAATTTGAATACAGTTTTCCATGGAGTCTCCCTTTATAGCCCTTGGACATTTCGTTTAACGCTTTGAGAGCTGTTTAAAATTTCTATTCTATCTTCTAGAGAGAAATCAATCATTTTACTTGGTTGACTTGACATTTAATTTGCTATGTATAAAAATAAATATGAAAAGAAAATAATCTGCCATTATACAAATACTAAAATAACTTAATGTTTGCTATCATTTACCAAATCCAGTCCACTTGGTCAAAATAATAACAAAGCCTCACCTCCTACCCGTGAACAGGCTTCGTTGCTTAACTACATGGAATAACCACTTGCTCTGGCCTTAAATAGACACACACCTTATGATTTAGATGTGCTAAACTGATCCTCACTCAGCATTAACTTTTAGCTCCATGTAGTCAGCATGTTCCATCATTTGTTCCCATTGGCCTTATAAACAAATCTGAATGATAGAAGTATATTCTCAGGCATAAAATCTAATAAAGATGTTTGCCTGAGACTGTCTTCTGCCTCATTTTCAATCCATCTAACCACATTTTGATTCATGGTAGCTTACATTTACTCCACTTCCTACTCATATTCTTGTCTTACTAAGTAACTGGTAAACTAAGGCCACCGAAAAGCTACTTTGCATGCTTGTCTTCCCATTGTCTGCATGGACTTTGATAGAATTATCCTTATGAGATACTCAATATTAAGCAAGTACATAATAAAATTTACAGTATTTTGCAATAAAAATTAGTCTTTGATTTTTCTTCATTAGTGTATTAGTTTGTTTTCATACTGCTGCCTAAGACTGGCTAATTTATAAAGGAAAGAGATTTAATTGACTCACAGTTCAGCATGGATAGGGAGGCCTCAGGAAACTTACAATCATGGCGGAAGGCGAAGGGGAAGCAAAGCACCTTTTTCACAAGGCGGCAGGAATGAGAATGAACGCAGGAGGCACTACTAAACACTTATAAAACCATCAGATCTCGTGAAAACTCACTCACGATCAGGAGAACACATGGGGAAACCGCCCCTGTGATTCAATTATCTCCACCTGGTCTCTCCCTTGATACGTGGGGATTATGGGAATTACAATTCAAGATGAGATTTAGGTGGGGACACAAAGCCTAACATATCAATTAGCATACACTCATTAGGTATCTGAAAATGACGCAGATGAAGAAAAAACAAACTTTCATTTATTCAAAATCTTAGCATTTCATAATTTCAGGTGATGCCAAAGAAATTTTTAAAGAGGGGATATATCTGTCTTAGGAAAGCTCGTCTCAGTGACAGTGGGATTGTTTCTCATAATTTAAATTTTGAATAGGTTAACTTTCTTAAAAGAGGCCCTTTTATTGTGCTTTGTATAGGTAGCTCTAAACAAATGGAAACAGAAAAGATGAAAACATCCTTACCTTAAGGGAAATTACTGCAGGTCTTACCCCCAGACTTCATATATCTGTAACATAAAAGAAAGACATCCAAAAGTTATTTACATAATTTAAAGCACCATTTTCTTCAAGTAAGCAAAAATTGAGACATTGCACTCTCTTTTCAGCAATCGGGGTGAATTTTTAGTGGAGAAAACAGTAGGAAGATATCATCACAGAGATGTTTCACTGAATAAGAATAAATAAAGGATAACTAGAAGATAATAATTAGGGTATTCATGAGACAAAAACATGCAACAGAAACTGAGCCTCAGAGTTTCAGATTGTGGTAGAGCAGATTTTGTAGTACAAAGTAATTTTTCTTACCATTAAGATCAACTTGAATTCCCATATATTCATATCATATAATGTAGTCAGCATTGTTTCGTTATTTTAAATTACATTTTTAGATATGTTATAATGCTTACGTGAAAAATGTAAGATATTCTGTAGCACTCAGCTACTAAGATTCAGTTGATTATCTTATAGTAGTAAAACAATCTAATGATTACATACAATTTTGTGGTTTACAAATCATTTTTATGATTTGATTCTTATAAAAATCCAGTGAAAGGTATGAGCACTTAAGAAACAGTCTGGCAAAAAAAAATAAAATAAAAAAAATAAAAGGCAGCAATCCCTGAGAGAAACAAATAAGGTAAGCGCTAAGACTACCTCAGCTGGAGAAAGTTACTAGGGTGTGGTGCAGGGATAGAAAATTCAGTCAGATGCAGTCGTCTCCCTGAGTTGAGCAGACAGAGTTGGAAATTTGAGGAAGCCCAGATGCCTAGAATTTGCAAGGCATACTACTAAAGAGAGAAGGGAGATGTGCAAAGCCAGAACTCCAGAAATCTTCAGAAGGTCCCCTTTCAGTACACAGCTGATTATTAATCATGCATGCCTGTGAAGAAATTACCCATCTCCAGTAAAAGAAACACCTGAAAGAACAGTAGCTGATGTTTAAGCATGATTGAGATAAGTGTCTGTTCACACCAACCAGGATAGAAAACCTCCTATTTCAAGGATTGCAGGTTAGAATGCAAAGGATTTTGTCTCACTAGGAAAGAAAATTAGTGCTTAAAAGCAAGACCTGAAAGAATCAAGTTGTTTCCAACTAAGCCATGTCCTGAAGAAAGCTCAGAAATTTTCGTAGTGATATAAAAGTATCCAGCAACCAATAAATTTGTCAAGATCTTGACCAAATATGAGTGAATAAATGCGTTCAACAGTACTTCCATTTAACTATGAAGAAAGAAAAAGCAAAAAATATAGACGTGAGTCCCACTTCCATTTTGTAATTCACCAATATCCTACTGATTTGTAAAATGCCAACACACTAAGAAACCTAGTCTTTTAAGAAAAAAAAATACACTATTATAACACTGTTTGGAAAAATATATAATGTTTTTACCTAGTGCTAGTACTTTTCCTTCTTTAAATTTTGTTTTTGTGATTTAAATGGTGCAAAGAGGTTACCATAAAGCATACAGTTTTATATTTTATTAACCATTTAAGAATATATTAACTTTTAGAAAAATATTAGAAAGTTCTCTTCCTGTATTAACATGTGATACATGGTGCTGGCATTGCAAAATGAAGCAGTGAGAAAGGGATGGCAAAAAAAAAAATAAATAAAAAATAAAATAAAAACACTTAAGGACTTAAAATTTGCAGGGACTTTTACTAGGCATTATAAATTTAATATTTACATAATTCTTGCAATAGCTTTCCAATCTATGGTACCAGGGTTCAAGGGATTTGCCAAATAGGGCTTTTAGTTGGTTTTGTGATTAATACTGCAGATTAATAATAGTTACTATCCTGTTCTCTGTGGTTCAGGCACTCTATTTTTTTTTTTTTGCACTAGATCAAATAACTGTGTCCCTATTAAACAGAGCACAGTACAACATGCTGGTAAATAATCCATGAGTCAAAAAAGCAGACAAAAGGGAAATTAGAAAATATTTTGAATTAAAGAAAAATACAACCACAATATATCAAAATTTGTGTGATGCAGCCAAAGCATCTCTTAGAAGAACATTCATAATATTAAATGCTTGCAGAAAATAAGGGAGGTTTCAAATCAATTATTTATGCATTCACCTTAAGAAATAAAACCAAAAAAAATAGAAAGCTAATCTCAAACAGCCAAAAGGGAACAATAAAGATAAGTACAGAAATTTATAAAGCTGAAAACCAGAAAAGCCACAGAGGAAAATCAATGAAACCAAAGCTATTTATTTAAAAAGCTCAATTAAATTAATATAACTCGAATCAGACAGAACAGAAATATATTTTCACATAAATGGCTCATTGATTTTCAATAAAGATGCCAAGGCTATTCAATAAAGAAATAATAAGTTTTTTTAAAGTTTTATTTTATTTCTAATTGACACATACATATTCAATACCTGTATATATTATATAATCATCAAATCAGGGTATTTATAATATTCATTGCCTCAAACATCTATAATTTCTTTGTAATGAGAGGAATTCAAAATCCTCTCTTCTAGTTATCTTGAAATATACAATACAATATGGTTAACTGTAGTCACCTTACTGTACAGTAGAATACCAGACCTTATTCCTCCTATGTAACTATTATTTTCTACTGTTGACCAATCTCTCCTATCCCTTATTCTACAGCCTCCCCTCCACTCCCCATCTTCTAGTAATCACTATTCACTCTGTACTTCTGTGAGATCAGCTTCTCCAGTTCCCAGAAATGAGTGAGATCGTATATTTGTCCTTCTGTGCCTAGCTTATTTCACATTCGTAAAGAAACCGAAAATATTATTAAAAAAATGCATACCTCACATCACATACAAAAATTAACTCAAAATAAACTATAGAACTTAAAATTTAAAAGGACAAATTTCTAAGAGAAAATATATGAGATAATTTTTGTGACCATGGGTTAAGTGAAGATTTCTTAGGCACTACTCCACAAGTACTATCTTCCGAAAGTGGCACAGTTAAAGGGACTGAAAACAGACCAGTGGTTTCCAGGGTAAGGGTTAGAGGAAGAGTTTTACTACAAAGAACTGTTTCATATGATTTTGTTGGTGGTTACGAACCACATGCATGTGTCAACATCATAAGATTGTAGATTAAATGTGGTGAATTTTGATGAGTGTAAATTTTAGCTTAAAAGAAAATTTTTTTAAAAAAAATTCTCTATACTAATACCAAATAAGTAAAACTTATTACTATAATATACTATTTACAAAAGTGCCAAATATATGAAATACTAGGAATAAATTAGAAATTAAGGAAGGTATTTACCCAAGAAAAAGAAAAAATCATAAATCCCCACAAAGACTGAAATAAAAGTGTTCATAGAAAATTTATCCATAGTTGTCCAAATCTAGGAAATAACCGAAGACACTAAAATTATAAAATAACATACCCCGAAACAGACTCATACATATATAGACCCTTCACTATGACAGTGTAACACAGCACAGCAGTGGATATAAAGATGTTTTCAATTAATAGTGCAAGGACAATTGGTTATCTGAAAGAGGAAAGGATGAAAAAACTATCTGGCCCCTACTGTATACAAAAGTAAATTCCAGATTAATTAAATACTAAAATGTGAAAACGTTTTTCTAAATGATAACAGGAAAATATTTTCATCATCTCAAGGTAGTCGAACCTCTAAAACAGGACCCAAAAAGCACTAACCCAAGAAAGAATAATAAAATTAACTACAGGAAAATAAAGAACGTCCATTCACCAAAAGATACCATTAAAAATGTAGAAAATAAGCTGCATTGTGGGAAAAGATATTTGCAACACATATGACACGGCAAATTTTATGCTTCAGCCTGACTGGGCTAAGGGATGCCTTGACTGCTGGTAACATTACTACTGGGTGTGTCTGATGGTGTTTCCAGAAGAGATTAATGTTTGATTCAGTAGACTTAGTAAAAAAGTCCAGCCTCACAGATGAGAGAGGGCATCATTCAATCCCTTGAGAGCCCTGATAGGGAAAAAAATAAAGGACAGAGGAAAACAAATTCTCTCTTTTTAAATTGGGGCATAAATCTTCTGCTCTCAGACATAGGAGATCCTGGTTGTCCGGCTTTCAACCCTTCAAGGACAAAATTAGATCACCAGCTTTCCTGGTTCTCCAGCTTGCAGATGGCATATTCTGCATACTTCCAGCCTCTATGATTGTGTCAGACAATTTTCATAATAAATCTCCTCTAATATATCTTTATTTACCCTATTGATTCTAATTCTCTGGAGAATCCTAACTAATGCAACATATAATTTCTAATGGCTAACATCCAGAATGTACAACTAACACCTACACATCCGTAAGAAAATGAACTATTTCCCCTTCACAAATGGCCAAGAGAATTATTAACAAGGGACAATGTCCAGATGGGCAATAAACACACAAAAACTGATTAAACATTGCTAACAATCAGAGGTATGCAAGGTAAAACACTACTATTATTAATACTATAACACACAGAAATTTTTCTTACTATAACATCCCAGAATGACCAAAATTCAAAAGACAATTATGCCAACAATCTGAAACAAAAGAATCGTTTATATAGTGGTGGAAAGACTAAAAACTGGTACAGCCATTTTGGAAAAAAGGTTGGTATCAGTTATAAAGTTTGAAGATGATAGACATATCATCAGATTCAGAAATTTCACTCCTGCTGAACAGCAAAATTGGCATATCCATATCAAGAAATATTTACAAAAATGTGTAAGTGCTCAAAACTGGAAAAAAAAACAAATGTCTATCAATAGGAGACTGTTAACACACATTTTAAAATTCTTTAAAGTATACAAATTTTTAAAAATCATTCAAAATAACACCACACAACAATCAAACGGAACAAACCACAGCTACACACATTAATCATGGATGAATTGCACAAACATAATTTTGAGCAAAACAAAGTAGATACTATTATAGACCCTATGCTTTCATTTACATAGTGTAAAAAATAGAGGTAGAACTAACTTATCATATGTATGGATGCAAATTTACTTGGTATAATACAAAGAAAAGTAAAAAAATAATTACCATCAATGTCAAAATATCAGTTACTGTTGATTGAGAAAAAAAACAGGTTATGATCAGGAGAGAGCATGAAGAGAAATTCTGGGGTGTTAGCAATGATCATGTTTATTAACTTCATTGGGGGTTACAAAGTGTCTACTTTGTCATAAATTATTGAGTTGTACATTTTTACTAATTGTCCTTTTTTGTGTTTCACAATAAAAAAACTTAGAAGTGAACCACAGATAAATGAATGAATGGTTAAATGATGCTCCACTATTGCCTCAAATCTTTAACATTCTAAAAAGAAACTCAGAATCAATCATGGACAGTCAAGAGCAGATTTGGAGAGTACAAGATGGGGATTGATTATTAACAATTGAGACATTCATGGTAAAAAAGCACTAAAAGTGAAAGCAATCTAAATCCATCCCCATATCGGACTATCAAATTCTGCCAGTGACACCATAGCTTGCTTCCAATTCCAACTTGAAGTATATGACCCATATATTGGTGAAGGAGAAAAATGATATATTTCAGAATCTGTGAGATCAAGATTTAAGTCCTAGCCTTTCCTGTTATTATCTGTGTGGCTGCAAGCAAATAACCTAATTGACTTCCACTGCTAGATTTGCATCTGGTAAATGAAGATGGATACTATAATCTTACTCTTAGAATTAGATGGAATGACATATTTAGAAATGATCCTAGAGTATAACTTTAATGTTGATTTTTTTCCCTCTGGATGCAAACCCTACATACAATTAGCTCTTTCCAACATCAATTGCCTTTTTGTGATATTTTTGAGAAAGAGAAAAACAGCCCTGCCATCCAGGAGCTGATGGGGACACTGTCGGCTAAGCTGGGTGGCCTCTTGTTCAAACATCAGGCAAGGCACTCTGTGACCATGATGAATCAAGAGAAATAACCAACCAAACAACCAACTAACAAAAACTCCATAAATGCACATCTGAACTCAGACAAAAAGTAGAATATTGTTCAAACAACAAAAAAGACCTAACATCACCCTATCCTTGCTGATATTAGTGATTACTGCTTCTGTGCCGATTTCAGCTTCAGGATTGCTTCATGCTTCCTGCTTTCTAAATGAGAATTATTAGGATACCCAAATCGTAAAACTGTCTCCACATCCTTGAACCTTCCCTCAAGTCACCCAACACAAGCTTCTATTCTCTCCTGAGACTCTTCTAACACCTTTTTTTTTTTTTTTTTATAAAGAAACTCCACTGTTCCCCACTGTGTGCAGTCTTCCTCTTTGCAACAAGTCAATAAACCCAACTTTGACTTCAGATATGCTCTTGGTTGGCTCTGGCTTGGGAGCACTGGCATCGTTCGCATTTGGCCTCTCTTTTGGAATCCATCTGTCACTTACATGTGAGATCTGTTTTCCCTCATGTGTAAACTATTTTGGCAACCTAATTAGGCTTTCTACCCAATTAGTTATTGAAGAAAACCTCGTATTAAAATATATAGCCTTTCCTACCTCAACCATATTAAAAACTGCTGAATATGTATTAAGCCAAAAAACTCTATCTAAAAAAATACTATTTATCAGACATCTAACTTTACACATCCATTTTAATATTTAGTGAGTGAAAGACTGTCAGAAGCTGTTATCTCAAGAGACAAGATACATCCTTTGTGCTGGTGAACCAACTGTAAACTGTGATATATCTGGGTGTTCGCAGATAAGGTGCCAAACGCAAACCTATAAGTGGAAAAGCAATTTTCTTTTATGCCTCATATCACAGTGTGTCAAAATTCTCTAATTCCTTTGTTTTGTTGTAAATGAAGAAAGGTTAGGTTGTGAGTAAAAACACTGTTTTGATAGCTTGAATCTCTGGAATAACCCCCATAGGAATTAGCAGAAAGCAGATCTCATCAGAACAATGTTTAGAAAATAGAAGTTTGTACTTTGTCGTTCTATTTCACATTTTCAACTAGACCTGCAATGAGAACACTAGCTTCCTAGCTTCTTTTTTTGTTTAATTCAATAGATATTTTTCATTTGTGCTTTTTAAAATGTATTTTTAAAATTGTATTTTATATAACATGACACATAAATTGCACACTGTGGAAAGAATTGTCTGCCTCCCTGAATGAAACCGTTTTAATCTCAAGAGTTTTATTATCTGTTAAAATCTATTTAAATATAGGCATTCAATTTTACATTACTTGACATTTATGAGGAAGCTATTTTACAGCAGCAGGTTTCTGAATAGACAAGATCACAACAAATATTCATGATTATATGACATGCTAGATTGAAAAATATGGGGAAAGAATGATCTAAATGTTCTGGGCAGTTCACATATGTGAATATATCTAATAAAACTCTGGATCAGAGGTCTGCTAATACCTTATATTTGTTTGAAAACTACAAATATGACATATATAAGAATAGCCTATCTATTTTATTTACTATATTGCAATATTAATACAAGCTATTGTGTTTTGAATATTAGCTGAATTATTTAATATTAAAACTGGGGAATAGAGACATCCATTTGCAACATAAAATTTTCAGTTAGTATTTAAGGCTGTACTTTACAAAGTGAATAACAGCAATTCAGCTAGTTGAACTGGCTAGAAAGAGTGAATCCTATCTGTAACTGTGTACTATGATATGTCCATGGACTAGAAAGTATCTCAGCTTTTACTTCAATGATAGAAAAACACAATCCTGGGCACAGTTTTACATTTGGAAAGAGGTGACTGCCAGCCTCAATTAGGGTTAAAAGAAACTAGGAAAATGAGCTTCTACAATTAAGATTTTCTACAGCTGACCTCATGGGTCTGATGTATGACAATTCAAACTGGGATTTTTATGAACATGCAAAGAAACAAATCACCACAAGATTTTAAATTACACAGAAGAATCTGCATGAAACTTCTATCCATCAAATGCCCACTGAAAAATGAGGTAATTACCTAAAATAATTTGCATGTTAAGAGCTAATACAATATTACAAAGTAAAGTCCAGTTGTGAAAGCAATGCATAATTTCCTGATTAATGTCTGGTGCACAATATTCCTCCATGCTCTGTCAGAACCCAAATAACAATATGGCCAATCAATCAAATAAAAAAAAAGATAATTCAGATATGAAATGAGTTCAGTTCTAATAAATCATGATTTGAACTCAGTGAATTTTAGAGTTATGACAACTAATCACAGTATATTGTGTTTTCAAGCCAATACATTTAGATTTTAATTGGTATAATTATAGATTTTCAGTGATTCAAGATTAGTGTGTGAAGGCAAAAAAATCAATTTTTAGTTTGTAAAATGTCATCTATTAAGTTATTGAAGAACACCTCGTATTAAAATATCAAGTCTGTAACACACAGCGCTGCCAAAAGTTACAATTTGAGCGATATTCAGGCAGGAAGTCTAAGAATGCCAGTGGAGTAATATGGCCAAATTTCCTACAGCGAGATTATGAAACATTTTCCTTCTCAGTGGAAAGTGGAAACATTTCTTCTACAAGTAGGATTAATCTCCTCTGTCAGCGGAAGGCAGGTGCGGAGATAAAGGAGAAGCAGGTGGGCAGAGCCTCTTAATGGATACCAGGTCTCTAACAATGGAGCTGTGATCCGAGTCACTTATTAACAAATTCAGGATTGACGGTTTACCACTGTTCTGCCATTCTGTTCTTGTGTAATGGGAGACGCTCTTTAAAATATTAAGATTATTTCTGGACTGTATTAAGAGGCAGGAGTTTTCTCTTTGTGGTGGGAAAGGAAATGGGGAGCGAAGGGAAGTTTTCTTAAAGTGAAGGTGCTCTCTGTTGTTATTGGGGGTGGGGGAATGATGAAAAGAAGCCCAAGAAAATGGATTCATAGTTATTTTGACCCAGTCAGAACTTCAACTCTTCTTTTGCTTCTTATGAGGAATTCATTTGACCAGTGAAGAAAGCAAGTTTTGAGGTCAGCTAGGCTGTTCTATCTGGGCCCTTCTGTTGACTGATTATGACCTTGGGAAAGTTACTTAACCTCTTTCATGACTGTTTCTCAACCTAAAAATCAGAGATAAGAACATAACACACCCTAATAGATCAGAACACTACTGACCATGACCAATTTAAGTGATGTATTGTTACTGTACTAGTGACTAGTACTTAGCTTAGTGACTGGTACTAGTCAGTGCAGAACAGACAACACAGAATTTATCAGTGTTGCTATTAAATCATTTATTTAACCTCTTATGCCCATTTTCTCATATCTAAAATGAAGATAATCGTACCTATTTGATATATTTGTTGTGAGAATTCAATGGATTAATAGAGCTTTATTTATTTATTTATTTATTTATTTCTGTTTTTGAGACGGAGTCTCACTCTGTCACCCAGGCTGGAGCAACCTCAGCTCACTGTACACCTCCACCTCCCGGGTTCAATTGATTCTCCTGCCTCAGCCTTCTGAGTATCTGAAATTACAGGCACCCACCACCACGCCCAGCTAATTTTTGTATTTTTAGTAGAGATGGGGTTTCACCACATTGTCCAGGCTGGTCTCAAAACTCCTGACCTTGGCTGATCTGCCCACCTGGGCTTCCCAAAGTGCTGGGATTACAGGCGTGAGCCACTGCACCCGGCTACAGCTACATTTCTTATAACAGTGCCTAATATATAATAAGTACTCAAAATTTTAATACATTAATCATTGGTAGCCACGTGCCATCATCCAAATTCAAATTCAAATTCACATTAAATAAAATTTAAAATGCCACATGGGCCACATTTCAAGAACTCAGTTGCCACAAGTGGCTAGTGCCTCTTGCATTGGCAACACAGTTCAGGATATTTCTGTCACCTCAGAAAATTCTATAGGACGATGATAATAGATCTGGCCTTAAAGAAAGAGTTGAAAGAAAAAGCAGCCGTTCATTCATATTGTCAGCTGTGGAGTGGGTGGAGAGGATAAGCAAAGAATAGGCAGTATACAGTAGATGACAGAACTTGTAATGTACATAGCTTTACATTGTTTCAGGGGTTTTTTAGGCAGTCTTTTTTTAACATTTACATATACTTTTAAAGATATATTTTAATTTATAAAATAACAATTATGAACATTTTAACTTCAGATCATATTGACTCTGGTTAACAAGAAAAGAATTATTTAAACTACCAATTCAATAGCAATGTTTGAGGGAACAACTCCATTTCAAAGAAAAAACTTTAAATGTGCTTTTGAGTGATAGGCCAATGAAACAAAACTTTCAAACTTTTCGCAAACTTTTCAAACGTTTGCGACTAAATTCTTGCAACTGTGATTATTAAGGTTTTTCAAAGGTTGTCAGGCTTTGTAATATTCTCATAAGTCACATATAAGTGCCATGCCATTGTCAGCAACGACTTACCACCATACTTATTTAATATTTATGTAAAAATAGTATCAATATGAAAAGTACAATTATATCACCAATCTTTGAAGTGACAATCACTTGTAATTTCAAAACTTTCCAGCCATTTTTAACATTCTCATTTCTTTGGTCCCGAGTTTCTTTATAATATTTGATACCAGTAACTATTTTTTAATTTGGGAAATGCAATTTTTCCTTGGTTTTGTTACACAACTACTTCTTCTTCCTCAGTACTACTTCTTTTCAGTATATTTCTGGTGGGTTTTTTGTTTTTGTTTTTGTTTTTTGAGACGGAGTCTTGCTCTGTCGCCCAGGCTGGAGTGTAATGGCTCAATCTCGGCTCACTGCAACCTCCACCTCCCAGGTTCAAGTGATTCTCCTGCCTCAGCCTCCTGAGTAGCTGGGATTACAGGCACTCACCACTGCACCTGGTTAATTTTTGTATTTTTAGCAGAGACAGGTATTTCACCTAATCTACTCTACTCTACTAAGAGATAGGTACTTTTAGTAGAGATAGGTATTTCATTGTATTTCACCAAGTTGGTCAGGCTGGTCTCAAACTCTTGACGTCATGATCAGCCCATCTTGGCCTCCCAAAGTGATGGGATTACAGGCGTGAGCCACTGCGCCCAGCCTATTTCTGGTGTTCTATTCCTCTACCAGTCCTCAATCAGTATTTCCCCCTGGGTTTTATTATTTACTTTTTTCGATGTCATTTTAAATGCTCTTTTGAGTGTTCCACTGTATTCTCATGGTTTCAGATTCACCTGTATGCTGATGGTATCACATTCTATACCCCAAGCAAAAATTTTTCATTTGAATTCTAGAGACTTTAATTTTGTTTTATTTTCTGCAGGCACCATAGACCCAAACCTAGATTTTGGTAAAATTTAGCTAACCTTCTTTCTGTTCCCCACTTATAAAACAAATACATATGTGCACACTCACACCTCACACCCCCACACACACAGACAGCAGTTTTTCCTTCTTTGTTCTACTTCTCATTAACCGAGACTTGATAGTCATCTAGATTTATTTATCTCATACTCTTTTATTAAATCACAGAAGCAGGCTCTTTCTACTTCCTATCATATTCTGTGTAAACTCACCCCTCTCTGCAGATCCTACTTCCCTTGCTTACCTTTCATCTCCAAGAAAATTCACTGAGTTACTACAATAACATATTGACTCATCTTACCTGTAGCCAGTTCTACCCCCAAAGTGCTATCAATAGAATTTGTTTTAAATACACACTTCTTTTATATTAGTTAAAATCCTTTAATGATTCTCATCATTTACAGTGCTGTTTCTCTCTTGTAATGGCCCTGAGCCCTGGCCATAACAAGGTACCTGCTGCTCTCAAAATGGGATATGCTTTCTCATTCCTCCAAAGAGCATTCTATATGTTCTGCTCCGTACTTGGAATCTTGCCAGTCCTTCTTCTGTTCTTGAAAAAATGCATAACATTTTAAGACTCAAGAAGAGCATCATATATATGTGTGTATATATGTGTGTGTATATATATGTATGTGTATATATATATGTATGTATGTGTGTATATATATGTATGTATACATATATATTTTTGAGACAGAATCTCAATGTTACCCAGGCTGGAGTGCAATGGTGCAATCTTGGCTCACTGCAACCTCTGCCTCCCGGGTTTAAGCAATTCTCCTGCCTCAGCCCCCTGTGTAGCTGGGATTACAGGCACCTTCCATCATGCCCAGCTAATTTTTGTATTTTTAGTAGAGACGGGGTTTCACCATGTTGGCCAGTTTGGTCTCGAACTCCTGAATTTAGGTGATCTGCCCGCCTCGGCCTCCCAAAGTGTTGGGATTACAGGCGTAAGCCACTGCGCCCGGCCAAGAGCATCTCATTTTTGGTGCATTTTCCTCATACTTCCTTTCACCCTCCTCTTCTGTTACAGAACTCAAGTTCTGAATCTTTCCTTAGAACATTTATTATATCATAAAGGTAAGATGTCTATCTGTATGAAATGATTGTGAGATGTTTAAAGATTTCATTCTTAGTATAATATCTAATATGGGTACATGTGAATATGTCACACATAGCCTTTTCTTTAGGAGCTCAATTATATTTATTTAAATTATTAATTAAGGTGTGGTTGTAAAATGCTGAGAATAAAAATAGTGGGATGGCAAAAATGCTGAAAATAAAAAGATGATATTCATAAATACAGTTAAAATATTAGAAGTATTATCACTCCTTGCAGTATAAAATTCTTTAGTTGGCATTGAAATCCATTGATCTCCTACATTTTCTCTTGTCTTATTTACTTTTCCTTCTCAGTCTGCTTTTCGGGTTCCTACTTATATTTTGGAGTTTTAATATTGTAATGATCCACTATCAAGACTTTGTCCTTGTTCCTCTTCTGTTTATTTGAACACCCCTAAAAATCTCATCCAATCCCATTATTTTAAGTATCATCGTTATGCTGATGACTCCTAGCCTGGATATCTATGTTACACTCCAGAATTTATTTTCAACTGCCTACTCGATATGAACCTATCAAACTTCACACATTAAAAACAAAGATCCTGGCTGGGCATGGTGGCTCACGCCTGTAATCCCAGCACTTTGGGAGGCTGAGGCTGGCGGATCACCTGAGGTCAGGAGTTCAAGACCAGCCTGGCCATCATGGCAAATCCCCGTCTCTACTAAAAATACAAAAATTAGCTGGGCTTGGTGTCGGGCACCTGTAATCCCAGCTACTGAGGAGGCTGAGGCTGGAGAATTGCTTGAACCCAGGAGGCAGAGGTTGAAGTGAGCTGAGATCAAGCCACTGCACTCAGGCCTGGGTGGCAAGAGCAAAACTCCATCTCAAAAACAACACAAAACAAAAAACCTAGATCCTCATTTTCCCTACCAAAACGTGTTCTACAATCAAGACAACTGCAATTCTATCCTCCCAATTATTTAAGGTCTGAAAGCTTCAAGTCACTCTTAATTCTGTTAGGAAAGCTTATAAATACTGCCTCAGAATACATCCAGAATCTGACCATCAGCCATGATTGCCATTGTTAAAACCTGATTCAAACCATCATCCCATCTCACCTTAATTTCTGTAGTAACATCCAAAGTGATCTCCTTGCTTCTGCTCCCCACTTCTGATCACCTTCAACCTAGTCCCAATACAGCATCAAAATGATTCTATTAAAACTAAGTCAGATCATCTAGCTCTTATGCACACAAGCCTGCAGTGCTTTTCAAATCACAGAGTAAAAACCTGCATCCTTACATTGGCCTGTAAGATCTCTGAAGACCTGGTTCTCTGTTACATATTTGACGTTGTCTTCTACTTTTCTTTCCTCTTGCTCATTCCTTTCTAGCTTTCTGGCCTCTTTGCTGTTCTTTGAATGAACCAGGAATACACTGAACTCTTGGCATCTGTGATTTTGGTTCTCTCTGCCTGAAGAACACATCTTTGAGACACCAACATGACTGACTCCTTCACCTCTCTCACTTCCCTCAGTTGACTACATCATTTAAAATGGAAGCCACCTTCACACTTCCTGGCCACCTATGTTATTTTATTTTTCCTCACAGCAATTATCATCTAACATATTGCATATTTACTTATTATATATTAATGCATATTTACTTATTATATATTAACGTTAATTTATTGTTTTCCCAGTCCCTATGGAAAGGTAAATCTACAGGAGAAGGATGTTTACATTTCATCAATGGTGTATCCTTCATACCTAGAAAGGCCTTATGCACAGTTGTCCATAACTATTTGCTGAATAAATGAATGAATCTAATAAGTGATTTGAGAGATGAAATTCATGAAGACATTGAAGAAATTGAAAACATGTAAGGCTAGAATATGGCAAAAAATATAAGTACATATCTAAAAAAGACGTAAGTGCATTGCTAAGTGAACTATAACAGATAAAGAAACATTCCCCAATGGTTGGTCCAATAAAGCTTATAAAATATTGATAAAATAGCCATTTCTATTCCTAATAAAGGGGATAATATCTGCTGAAAGATAATAATTAAACAGCTTATACTTTTCAAAGTCTTGGAAATATTATTGTATAACAGTGGAATAGAGCAGACAATATTTCCGTAATTTATTTTACCATATATACTATTTTTGCTGTCCTTGTGAAATTAGGACTTTATGGAATGTCTTTTGGGAAGTGCTGGGGAGAAAGGGATGTTTTATCTGAGCTACAATTCTCTTTCAGTATGAGAACTGGACCAACCATTGGGAAATGTTTATTTATCTGTTATAGTTCACTTAGCAATGCACTCTTTCAGTATATCAGTATGATAGAAATTGCTGTGATAAGTGAGCCTGGAGAACTAGAAAGCCAGTTTGATAATTCTCAATGGTGAGCTGTCATTTGAATATGCCTGTTACCATCATAGAGTTGGAGAGAGTCAAGGGCTCTGTGGATGATGATCAGTAATAAATAATAAGATGCAACCATATTGAAAAAAAGTTAAGCCTTTTAAGTTTTAATGAAAATATATATAGTAGACATATGTAATACATAGTGACTATGTAACCCTTTTCATTGTCTTTTGTTACAACAAAGAGAAGAATGATGGCACCCTTTAACTCCACAGAAATACATTTAGACTTGTACTTTTGTAAATTTTTTTATCCTAGAGGTCATAAGAAATCTAAAAAAAGATGATCCCATGAAAATTATTGAAAGATTGTCGCATGGCATAAGAGTAAGTACTAAGGATTTGGAATCAGAATATTTCTCTAAATGTTTAGATTCTTCAATAAAAGCAGAGACATGAGTAGTAAATTATTGTTATCCACAGATCCAACTCTACAGTGAAGGAATTGGGGTTTAAGAATACAATTTTAGTCCAGGCACGGTGGCTCACGACTGTAATCCCAGCACTTTAGGAGGCCAAGGCAGGCGGATCACCTGAGGTCAGGAGTTCGAGACCAGCCTGACCAACATGGAGAAACCCTGTCTCTACTAAAAAATACAAAATTAGCTGGGTGTGGTAGTGCATGCCTGCAATACCAGCTACCCGGGAGGCCGAGGCAGGAGAATCTCTTGAACCCGAGAGGTGGAGGTTGTGGTGAGCCGAGATTGCACCATTGCACTCCAGCCTGGGCAACGAAAGCAAAACTCCGTCTCAAAAAAAAAAAAAAAAAGAATACAGTTTTATAGTTCTACATCAGGAGTCATTGTCAAAGCCATGATTAATGCATAACCTTCTGATATCTAATAATTTGGCTCATTATCACCTTTAGTTGATGTATTTGTCTAATATCAGTTACAATTAGGAACATGCCAGGGATGTATACTCATATTTAAATAAGTTTATAAAAAGACAAGTAAAATTATGCTGGTTATATGAATTGCAAATTAGCATATCTCTGTGTCAGAAAGGTCAGAGATATGATTATACAGTTTTCTCTTTGCCCTAAAAGTTTAAATTTTAATAAAGATTAAATGACATCTCTCTAGAATTTAGAAAAATGACTAAAAACTAAATTTTCTTTTTATGTGTGTATATGTTTGTCTACTTGTTCACACTTCATCATAGCAAGATACATTAGATTTGCTAATTATTAACATTTCTGAAAATCAGTGTTTCTCCTATTCTATATGAAGCATAAAGAGAATGGGAATTATGTATTAACTGTATAATCAATAAAACTGTTATTGAAAAAATGACTTTAAATTTTCTCCTTTAAATATGTTTCAAGATGCATAAAATTATATAAAAATGAAATTCACACTTTGCTTTTTTATTAAATAGTATGACCTAGTTAATAATAATAATTTGATATATTTATTAGTTTTTATTCTATTGTCAGAAAATTCCTGGAAATATTTTCTACTCAAAAGATTCTAGAAATTTATGTGAAGTTTGTATGATTTCAACAATGTAGGGCTGTAATTTGTTTCAATGTAACTATTTGGTAACACATTTTTTTTCCTAGACAGAAACCAAATCCCATAACTACCTGGGCTTCCAAGTGAATTTCTGTAATGTTTATGAGAAGGGGTACATAATAAGAGAAATGGTACCCAAAATTAATGATTCTAGGCTACTTTTTACATCAAAAATATACTACTAGGAATATTGTGTGTTTAATCCTCAAAACAGTCTGATAATAGTACAAACAATTACAAAAGCAATAAGTACTTACACAGCAATTACTATAGATACATTGTTTGAAAGATTTTCCACATATTATATTATTTTACCCTCACAATAATATCTATGACAAAGTTACATTCTAATTTTTGCTTGCTAGAGAAGGACAATTTTTCATGGAGTTTAAGAAATTTCCTTAAGCTCACGCAGCTAGGAAGTGGAGGGTCACACAGCTAGGAAGTGGAGGTACCAGGATTTGAACCCAAGAAATTCAGTTCCAGAATCCATGATCTTAACCAATAGATTGCACTGCTCTGTGGATAGTTGCTTTCATTCTTAGTTTACAAATGAGAAAACAGAGGGTTAGAGTTATTAAGTTGCAAGTAGGAATTTGAACTGATGTTCTTTGACTTAAATCCTACAATATTGTCTTCTAGCACTATGGTGCACCGATTTTCCGTTCCCGTGGGCAATCCATCTCTTAGTATCTTTTGTGGTATTTCATTATTAAAAACTTTGAGTTTTAGAGTATAATGAATCAGGGTAGAAATTGATTAAAATATGTGTACCCCAGGTGAATGAAGTTAGTATAGGTTTCACAGCTTAGTTTCTTTTTAAGGGGGATAGGGATGGTGAGCGGAACTAATACTTACTTAAAATTTACTGTACATTGAATCTGTACTAGTAGTATCATTTATAATTCAGCTTAATCCTTAAAACTACCCCATGAGACAATAATATTATCACTATTTTGCTGATGAGGTTGAGGAGACTCTGCAACATAAGAAATTCAGTGCTAGAAGAGACTACAAATTGGCCTATTTGATATTAAAGAAATTCCTACACACAAAATTCTAATACTGCCCAAGGAAAGCACAATGGGGTTTCAAGCATATTGCCACATGCAAATATTTGCTGGGACACTGAGAATTGCAGGGTGTTAGGCAAATTTGATATTAAAAATCACCGCAAGCACTTTCATACCATAAAAATTCATACCTTCTTTTAAATTCAATTTGATTAAAATGGGAATTTTCCATATTATGTTACTGATTTTGGAAATGGAAAGATGCAGTATGACATCTGCTATCATATAGTGATGAAATTTAAACACAAGCTTATAATTTCCTAATTCATTATTATTTCCTGTTTGAGTTAGGATAAGAAAAAGATGTGAATAATTCAGAAATAATCTCATTATCAATATTATTATTGATGTAAAGTCCTGGTAGAAGAGACTATGATGCAATTGGTCAATGAATCTCACAGGGTTATTTAGTTATGTGCAATAGTTTAAGTGTTGTATTTCAAGGTACTTAAATAATGGATAGGTTTTCTTATAGATGCAGAGACAAAGGTAAGAACCAGCATTTTTTTTTTCTAAATACTCCAAACAATGTAATTTTTTAATCTAAAAAGAATAATTAGTAAAAACAATCAAATAAAAACTGAAGAGTAAGTTTAAGACGTGGGTATTACCATCATTTTCTCTCAACTCCACTTCTTATGTTTAATCACTAGTTTATAACATTTCAGAATATTTTATGTTGCACATCTATTTTATATAGTTCCACACAGTATCTTTGTATATACAAATGTACTCTACACATTTTTCTATCAAAATAGGATCATACTATAAGTTTTTTTTTATAATTTATTTTTGTTTACACAAGATTCTAACACAGGTATATATTAAATATGCTCATTATTCTTGACACTTCTTGGTCTTTTATATACTTCAATTATTCTTAAAAATAATGCAGAGGTAAATACCCTTTACACTTGCATGGTTGGAAGAATATTTCTAGAGATTGCTAAAAATTGTATTGTAATTTGAAAACTCACCACAACACCTCACTTTCAAAATCAAGATTTGCTTTAAGAAGAAAACTGTGGACCTCTGTAGAGAGATTGTTTACTTGTTCTTCACATTTATAACCCTGAGGAGTTTAGTTAATCATTCTGTGCCTCAGTTTCTTTATCAGCAAAATAGGGATCATAATAATGCCTGCATCATAGGGTTGTAGAGAAGATTACATTATTGGAACAATGACTTCTACTTAATAAAGGCTCAAGAAATGTCATGCATAAATTAAAATTATCTGTATCATCTAGAATATATATGTAATGTAAGTTGGAAAACTTCCCTTTTAACAGAAAAAGGCAAGAAAATAGTGCAAATTTGTGATTTGAAATGCCAACTTTATGATAAACAACATTTACAAATCTTTCCAATCATACAAATAAATGTGTGCTTCTGAACCATACATTTATGTCATTGATCAACACGTACACTCCTATGCCATGACTGTACAATAAAACCTGTGCCTGTTAAGGACAGTTAATATACAAAAATGAAATGTACCCATTACTATATCTAGGAAGCCAAGTAATAACCACATGCACTTTGATAATCTTCTTTTTTTTTTTTTTTTTTTTTTGAGACGGAGTCTCACTCTGTCGCCCAGGCTGGAGTGCGGTGGCGGGATCTCCACTCACTGCACCCTCTGCCTCCTGAGTTCAAGCCATTCTCCTGGTTCTGCCTCCCGAGTAGCCAGGATTACAGACACCTGCCACCACGCCCGGCTAATTTTTGTATTTTCAGTAGAGACAGGGTTTCACCATGTTGGCCAGGCTGGTCTCGAACTCCTGACCTCAAAGGATCCTCCTGCCTTGGCCTCCCAAAGTGCTGAGATTACAGGCATGAGGCACCATGCCCAGCCTGATTATCTTGTAGTGACATTTCAGGTAACTATTAGCACTCAGAATTACAAAATTAAGAGTAAATTGCAAATGTGTCTATCTGCATATTTCATTTCCTTCCACATCAATGATTTGAATAATGTAGAAAACAGAAAGCTACATTTGAGACACTTATTATCATATTTTAAAAAGCTTCCTAATCATATATATGTCAGTGCAGGAGCATATGTGTATGTGTGTGTGGGCATGTGTGCCTTAGGTAACTTATTTTTATTTCTACATTTATCTTTTATTTTTTTACCTTTTAGCTTCAACACAAAGGAATAACTTATTTTCAAAATTGGTAAATAAAAAAATTACACCATCTTTCTTTAGATGTAAATTTGTTTTAGTCAAGCCGTTCTTGAAATGCCCACTTTAAATTTAGATTCACTTGTTCAGTTATAGCTATGGGACTTACAATCAATGCTCTAACACCTAATTAGATATGTATGGAAATGAAAACGCACATTCATGAAGGAAGTAGACCCATTGAGACAGGAGGGTTCCCTTGATCCCTTTGCAGGACTTGTGACAGGGGTGTGGCTCACTTACTGGGCCCCAGCACTCAAACCTCTTGCTGGAGGGGAAGCATGCAGGTGAGCGAGTACCAGGGCCTGGGCAAGTGCTTCTGGGCTCCAAGCCCACAGCAGCATCTAGGGTTGTGTGACGATAGATGCTCTTTTAGCAGTTGCCAACCACGGATGTCTAAATGTTTACCAACTCAGAGGAGAGACTGGTTGACAGCCTTTTACACTCTGCCCTCTTGGCACCCAGGTTTTGTCCGGCCTCCAAGAAGAATCAGGTCACACAGCCTTCAAGGATGGTGAATGCGGAGATTTTACTGAGTGATGAAAGTGGCTCTCGGCAAGATGGGGAGCTGGAAAGGGGATGGAGTGAGAAGATAATCTTCCCCTGGAGTTTGGCTGTCCCTGGCTGAACTCCTCTCTGACCATCCACAGCCAAAATCCTCTTGACATTCAGATGCTGCTTCTCTTCTCTCCTTCTCTGCCCTGCCATTCTGCTCCTCTGCCAGTGGCATTTGCGGTTTATAGGGGCACAGGAAGGGGTGTGGGGCAGGCCAAAAAAGTAATATTTTGGCAGAAAAACAGGGATTACTGTTCTCATTTAGGGATGTGGTTTCCAGGCTCGAGGGTGGGGACTTTGCCAGAGAGCCACCTTCTTCTACCCAGTTATTTCCCTGCCTTTTGTCTGTATCACCATCATAATTGGAAACAAACAAATCAGTTTGTTCTTGATGCTCATTACTTCCCCACTTTTGATAACTTAGGAAGAAGCTGGTTCTGCAGGTCTGTGTTATTTTGGAGGTTACTCCTTTCTAACAAGGCCAGTTCTGCCAGGTAGCACCCACTGTTGTATAGTCACATAGAGGTTCCTTGTCTCTCTTTTCCTGTAAATATGGGATTATGGGGGCAGAGTCCCTCTCTACTGGGAAATTCACCAGAGTTTATCCAGTCCAGCTATGCCCAGTTTATGAATACCGCTTATGAGAGGTCAAGAATCATGTGTATTATTCCGCTGTTCCTTTGCTTACAGGATTTCGCCAAATAACACTATTTTAATGTTACATGGGCTGACATTAGTGTTGTTTATATATTGAGGTCCATGCTTCCATTGTACAGTAGTCATATAAAAATACATAATGTTTTAATGTGAATGAGAAAAATAAATATTAATATATAGTCAGATTTACATTTGCCAATTATAACTCAAGAACAGAATGATTTGCATTATTGTCTATCTAAAAAGAGTTCTCTATTTGACCAAGAACACACAAACAATATCCTCTCTCATTTCTTCTACTGACCACTCCAAGTATTCACTAGTATCCTCAGGCCCCTTCCTCACCATTTCTCACTACTGAGATAGACAAAAATGTTTCCTTTTACATGACTGAATCTGAGGCCTTGAGATGCACCACCATCTACCCACTCGATTAATTGAGGAAGCATTCTTTGTTTCTCCTGCTTTTCCTGATTCTCCATGTGGAGTATTAATTGCTGTCTTCTCTATCTTATCCCTACAGTCAGGATACATTTCTGATATATCTCTTTCATTACGTTTTAATTATTTCTTAATCCATCCTCCCTAGATTTTTTAATTTCTTAAAGATTAAGGATATGGCAATGGACAAGAGAGAAAGTCTTACCTCCAAAAAACTTATATTCTGAGGGAAAATAATATAAATATGTGAAAGAACAAGTGAATAAAATAATTATAAATTGGTGAACAGACAAATAAATAAAGCAATGTAGACCACAATATATGCTAAGAAGGAAATGAATAGATTGCTACGATACAAAATAATAAGGATAAAGATCTTTAAGACAAGTGGCTCTAGAAGGCATTGATGTTGAATCCCTAAGGCGAAAACCATGAGAAGAGTTATGGGGGAGAATTCCAAGGCAAAGCCAAAGCCAGATCAGGAAGAGCCTCGATCATAGAAGGAAAATTGGGCCTTTTGTTCAAGTTCAATTCATTTCTTCCAACAATACTATTTGAGCATCTAGAGTATGCCAGAATGTAAGGGTGAAAATAAAATCTCTGTCCTCATGAAACTTATACTGGAGGGCAAGTGAGGATGAAACCTGCAATAAGCAGATAAACATATTTACAAACAAGATAATTTCACATATTAATAAAGTCTATAAAAATGATATAGAAAACCTCAGTATGATGAGCTAGGGTCTTATTTACCTAGGGTGGCCAGGCTGGTCTCTCTGAGAGGTCATGATTGATCAGAGCACTAAACAATGTGAAGGAGTGAATCAAGTGAAATCTGAAGAAAGGATGCATCAGGCAGGGGAAAGGGCAGTGGAAAGTCTTGAAGCCAGAATGAGTTTCGCCAGTTGGCAGAACAGCAGAGTAGGAGTAATTGGAGAGCTGGAAGCCACAGGGACAGGAAAAGATGAAGTAGGAGCTGGAGTTTGGGGCCAGACTATTATAATACACTGTATCAAATGTCTGGGCAAAGGAGACTAAAGACAAAAGTAAACAAGATTAATCCAAATTCTGTCTCTACATTCCGTTTTACTTAGAGAACACATGCTTTTCAAAATGCTTCCATGAAGTGACCCAATACCCAGGTACACCTTGTATTCACTTAATAAATGCTCAGTAATTTTTAGTCCTTGTTGAACATTAGAATCATAGGTGAAGTTTTTTAAAAAATAAATATTCATGACCCTCACCTACAAAACCTAGATATGTATAAATAAGTTTTTTAAAATCATGAGCGATTTTATTACCAATGGAAGTAAAAAATGACTGTTTTCTACCCAGTTGGTCTAATTGACCATTGTTCGTAGAAAAGCAGAATTTACAGGAGGAAATACACTGTCATCAAGATGATTTCTTTCTCATTTTAGTTGCATTTTGTCATGGCGATTACCAATTGCAAAGTGTGTTGATATGACTTTCAATCACATTTTGCCGCCTGGAAATTATTGAAGATTTCTGCATTCTCTTTTCAAACTTGAATCGTATCGCTAATGAAAAGATCAGTTTGTGGCCGATGAATACATTTTAATGGTAAAATATCTGAAAGTTATTTTCCTGATACTACAGAGGTTACAAATTGTCTAGTCATAACCTAACAGATATTACATTAGGGTTGAAATATTATTAAGGTTGTTATGACTGATAATTCTGTCATAAATAAAATAATCTTTTAAAGTGTAGTAATAAACTGGCTTAATTTCGATGCTATATGCTCAACAGTTGCAAAATGTTACCAGAAATTAAAATGCACAGAGTTCTCTTAATGTTTATTATGAATAAAAATACACAATAGAAAGAAAATAATACCCAGTAATCTTCCAGCTGAGCCTAAGAATTCCAGTGCCAAATTGCTTTAAAGAATAAATTCTGATAGAATGGCATATATGCTACTACATTATGCATATGCGTCTTGTGTATATTGAAAGAAGGAATTACATTAAATGTGGTATTTTTGCACACATGAAAGAAGAGCTCTTTTCTGAAAATGAGATGAATCAATCAGAGTTCCTCAAAATCAAAATATAAGAAAATGTCCTTTCTAAAACTAGTCTGTGTATGAATATTACACCATTCAACAAATACGCTTATGGTTAGATTTAGAGATTATACATAAAATTTCCTTAATTATCATAGTAGTTTTCTCTTTAAATACCTTTTCAGAGACTATTATCTATATTGTAATGTTCAGAAAAGTGATGATCAATTCATAAATGTGTGGAAAGTGTCATATTAAAACTACAAGCTCTAGAGTTGTGATTCTCAAAGAAAAAAGGAGATTTCAAGGAAAAGAATGAGGTGGGGCATATCAGAATGTGAAACACAATAAATAATTGCTTTGAATTTTAAGATGTTTGTGCAATTTAAAAAATTTGAAATTTATATGCTATTGAAAGAATATATAATCTTTTGAAGAATGTAAAAACAGGCATGTGTTAAACATTTTGTAAAATATTGCCTAAGAATTACAAATGACAAATTACATGCCAAAATATGATATGTGGCCCTGTGCTAAAGGTGGGGGGGCATGTGAGATTGTTTCTTCATTAAGGAGATGAAGCCACAGGGTAAACATTAAAGATGAGAGATTATATAACTTTTCAAATATCAGCCCTCCTTAAAATTTACTTTGGTGACATTCAAACATATGTGTGGGAGAAATTAGGATTTCTACTCTTAAGAAAAAGCATTAAATAAGCAAATGATGCTTTCCTCTAATTCCCAGATTATGGCCACTAATTCAGTTGTCATTTTGGAGAGAAGAGAAAATCATTTTAAGTTGAAAATGATAAATTCTATACCAGTATTACTTTGTAGAAATTTGAAAAAACCTAATACTTTAAGACAAGTCGGCAACTATACTGATAAAATTTTAGATCTCTCCTTCACAAGGTAAAACTGACCTCATAAGGTTTAGATTTATACTTTAAAGCATGAGAAGGTGGTAATTATTCCAAGGCAATATAAATATAATGCCAGGAATTTATGACATGTGAGGCAATTTTATTCCTGCAATGCATTATTTTGAGGGAAAGATGGAAGAAAGAAACTTACATGTAAAATGATGAAAACTATGAGCTAACACCACGCTCAGCACTTTACAACCAACATTTCCTTTTATTTAAAAAAAAAATGCACCTCTTACTGCATGTTATTATTCAGCTGTGAGAGGTTAGCTGAATTAACCAATAACAAGCATTGCTTGTTAGGGTCAATGATGAATATTAACACCTTTCACCCTGACTTCCACACCATCTGCATTTGACTCAAACACTGTGACTCGATGCTGAATCTATAGCAGCCCACCACAATTAAAAATGAGTTAAAAATTCTTAAGGACTATTTGTCAACAAGGTCTCCATTCTAAACTACCTTCCTCGAAAGAAAAGAGAAACAGATGACATGGTTAAGTTAAACAGGAACAAACAAATTGGGCTTTCTGGATTTTCAGCAACGGCAGCAGCAAAACTGGTAGTACACAGGTATCAATTCCCCAGGCTGCATGATATATTTATGCTTTCAACTTCTTCTCGTAACTTCACAGCAGAATATTATTATCCAAGAAAATCAATCTACTTCTACTAGAAAAAGAATATTTCAGTGATAAATGGTGTCAAAGATTGTGTGTGTGAGATATCTGTCCTGGAAACTGAGTTGCTGGCTGTGAATAGCTCTTTGAAAATCACTCTCTCCTGGAATTGTCTAGGACAGACACATGTCAGGAGCATGTATACTACTACTCATTGAATTGTTATTGGGAAAAGCCTCCTGTCTAGGCTAGCCAATGTGAAGTAGGACAAGTGGGTGTCACATTTTAAACATGTGGTATGTTGGCAAACTTTTCTATATTTGGTGTATGTTCCTAATAGGATACAATGGACTGGGAATATGGTTATAACAAAGGAAGTTTTATGATAGGAAAAATGTTCTGTGATAGGGGGCTACTTCTTTTATATAGCTTTTTCTGAGGCATTTCAAATATGCATCTGAATATAATCTTAAGACTATCTTAGAAACAGTAGATAAACAGGTTTGAAGTTTTGAGATAAATGATTTTTCAAATTATTTAAAGCAGATTAGAAAATGCTCCATGGTGCCATTTGACCTTGAATTTACAAAGGTCAGAATAATCATGTTATTTAAGAAATATAAGGGCGTATTATTAGCTTGGACATTAAAAATGAATCAACTACTTGTAAACAATAATGTTAACAATTATATATGTATACATTTTTCTGGAGTCCAAAAGAGATACTCTAAAGTTCTAAATATGATATGTGTGGGTACCTTTCAGGTCATACTGGAAAGCCATAAAAGGAGGAAAGAAAATTAAACTAATATTCATTTAGATGTGGACTATACAACAAAGATTAAACAAAGTAATACATATAAATGGTATTTTCCCAATCGATCATCTCCAGATTCTTTGTAATCGCTTCTAATCTATCTTCTACAGTCTATCTTCTTCCAAGAGAAAGATAACAAACATATTCATTCATCTATCACTGTAGACTAGGCTACTCTAGGAGTACAATTTCAAATGTAAAGTAATCCATGGAACTTACATTTACTATTTCACATGTCATAACCTGTTGGTCTTGACATCAGTCACTTCAATTATATCCTATACCTTAAGAACATGGACTGCTTGGGGAGGTTTTTTATTATGTAAATTTTATTTTTGGGTTCTCATTCATATAATTAAACAAAATGGGTAATAAAGTCATTTGATGGAACAATTTAACATTGCTTATTTGCTTTTAGAATTTGAATTATTCTGGAGACTAAAATGCTTTTTAATCTTCCCCAAATCCATGGACTATGAAAGGTAAATAAAGAGATGTGAGTTAGCCAATCTATTTTCACATTGCGGTGAAGTGGATTTCAAAGATTGATTATATATTCAGAAAGTTATATTCATGTTTGTGTAAATAGACAAGTATTTGTAAAAACATGAGAAAAAGATTTAATGCCAAATATGAGTATTCTCAAGCTTTTTAAAAATGAATTATTATGTAAAGCATAAAAATCAAAACATTTCAAGAAAATGTGTACTATTAATATTTTTAAATATTTTACTATGCATCATATTTGAAATATAGACTTTTAAAACTCACTATATAAAGTTTAAAGATATACAGTTACAGAAATCTATATAGTGCCACTAAAAAAATTACAGTGTACTTTTCAGACAGGAAACAACCTTGAAGATTTAGTAATTCATGCAGAATACTTTTTATATTTTTGGAGCTGCAGATTACTTCATTTTATTCCAAATTGCATCAAAGAACAAACAAACAAAGAATTGCCTTTAGAGCATAAGGAAATATATCAATAAATTTTAAACTATCAAGTTAATCTTTAAACTCCTCCAGAAAGAATGAGTTATGAAAATGAAAGTAGCACCACAATAATATGCATGTGAATTGCTATTAAATTTTTATACCTCTGTAATTAGACAGCAAAGACCGATCATTTAAAACTTGGAAAGGAAATCATCTACAGGATTTATATGAGTTTATGCATTTTATTTTCGGTAATACTAGAGCATAATCATAAAACATTAAGATGCATATAATTGTAGTCCAACAGGATGACCCAAATGCATGCAACAGTAGGGAGGAAAAAAATGGTTGCATAAAAGCAAATTTTGTAAATAACACCAGTATTGTCCAAATACCAGTATGAGGACCCAATACATAGACTATTACTTGAGGTTCTCACTTACAGTTATATCTTTCAACGTCAACATCACCTCTTCCATTGTGTGCAAAAGAGCAATTTAAATATTAAAATTTATAAAAGTAAACCAATGATGAGGTGATTTTATGGGGGAAAAGCTGAAGTAGGTTAAGAAAGTTTTAGTTTTTTGTTGTTTTTTTTTTTTACCTTTTCAATCATTTTTGGGATGCTTCTCTGTTATCCTTTTAGTCCTTCCTGGGCTTTAATTATTTTTCAGTGAATCCTTCTCTGTCCAAAGCTTGGGAATACCACACTGCACTACTCTCAAATTTCAGCATGCATAATAATCACCCAGGGACTTAGTTAAGAATGCAATTTCATAGACTATAATCAATGGGTCTTGTGATTCCATGTTAGGGGAGTTAAGGAGGGTTGCTCAAGAGCCTACAGTTTTAATCATCTGATGCAGGTAATCTGGAGACCAAACTTTGAAAACTATGTCATGGGAAATACTTGAATGAGTAAAAGTCTCCAGTCCCAAAGAGAAAGGAATAAATATGTGGGTTTGTGGCTGGATAACTTAGGGGCACTGACATGACTTAGATTTGTGTCCCTGCCCAAATTTCCTGTCGAATTGAAGGAGGGGCCTGGTGGGAGGTGATTGGATCATGGGGGTGATTTTCCCCTTGCTGTTCTCCTGATAGTGTATGACTTCTCACGAGATCTGATTGTTTAAAAAATGTGTGGCTTTCTTTGCTCTAGGTCTCTCCTGATGCCATGTAAGATGTGGCTTGCTTCCCCTTCACCTTCCACCATGACTGTAAGTTTCCTGAGGCCTCCCCACCCATGCAGAACTGTGAGTCAGTTAAACCTCCTTTGTTTATAAATTACCCAGTCTCAGGTAATTCTTTAGAGTGGTGTGAAAACAGACTTACACAGGCAATTACAAATTATGTGATTTTTTTGGATAATCACTTAATCACTTTGCTTCTCAACTTCCTCATATAAAATTCAGGGTCCTGGACTAGGTGAGGTCTGAGATTAATTTTGAGTCTCTTAATAATACTAGTTTTTCTCCAGCTGTCAGGGCATATAGCATTGCATGAGAAAGCCTCTCAATATCCTTCAAAATCAAAGCTAGCAGATTACTGCTTGCTTTACCTTTTGCTAATACTAGATATCTTGATCACATTGAATGCAAAAATAATATGGTGATGTGTACATACTTATTTTTCTGCCCAACAGAACCTATCCCTTTTTCAATGATTTACCACATTCTTCTTTTTTTAACTACTTCTCCTGACATCATCCATGGTTACAATGGAAGTCATTATTTTATAGTGCAATCTACCCTTGGAAGTTCTTGATTAACCAGTTCTAAAGTAGACACTTGATCCAAGCCGGGCCAAATATTCTCATGCCTGTTATTTGTGGGTTTGAGATTCAGAGCAAATTGTCATTTTCCAAAGGTCTGAACTATAACATCAAAATATCAGATGATGTTGGATGCATCTGTAGAGTAAATTAGTCTGAAGTGAGAGTATAGTACTTACCCACATAGGAGCAAAAATAAGAGTCAGAAAAAATATTTTCATTCTCTGATTTCATGGCACAGCAACCTTGCTGTATTTGATTTACACAAAATATCTAGAGGCTTTATGGTACATTTACCTTTTAGAATAAGCCAATTTGAGTTGTGTTTCTGTGCCAGCAAAATGAGAGTCCTAACTAAAAGAGCAGATTTTGCAGATGGATATTGAAATTCCATCTGTAGCTTTCTAAATAATACAATGCAAAAGAGGGCAAATTTGATTTGAACTTGATTGGATTGGAAATTAATAGGACATGATTTTCCAGAGTAACCCTATTCTGTATCTCTCCTACAGACGGTTGTTGACCTAGGAGGTCTAATAACCAGTGACTATGGTGTGACTAGACCACAAGGGAAATAGTCTAACCCTAGCATTGCCATGAGGAAGCCAAGAAAAAATAAATACCCAACATATAGAATTTTCTAGAACAAAAATAAAATGTTTTTAGGTCTGAATCTAAAATATGCATCTTTTTTCATCTAAACAGGACAAGAATTCAAATGCTCTTTCTTTGTGGATGACATTATCTGATACCTAGAAAACCTGAAAGACTGCCAAAAGGCTTCTGGAACCAATAAACCTCAGTGAAGTTTCAGGATATAAAATGAATGTACGAAATCTAGTAGCATTTCTATACACCAATAACACTCAAGCTGAGAGCAAAATCAATAATGCAGTCACATTTACAACACAAACACACACACACACACACACACACACACACAAAACCTAGGAATACATCTAATCAAGGTGATGAACGATCTCTACAAGGAGAACTACAAAAAATGCTGAAAGAAATTACAGATGACAATCCATGTCACGGATTGGAAGATTCAATGTCATTAAAATGGCATACTGCCCAGAGCACTTTACAGATTCACTGGTATTTCTATCAAATAACAAATATCATTTTTCAGGGAATTGAAAAAAAACTGTTCTAAAATTTATATGGAACCAAAAAAAGAACCCAAATACCAAAACTAATCCTAACCAAAAAGAACAAAGCCAGAGGAATCATGTTACCAGTTTTTAAACTATACTGTAAGGCTACAATAACCAAAATGGCATGGTACTGGTACAAAAACAGACATATAGACCAATGGAATGGAATAGAGAACCCAGAAATAAAACCATATCTACAGCCATTTGATCTTCAACAAAGTTGACAAAAATATGCAATGGGGAAAGGAATCTGTATTCAATAAATGTTGGAATAGCTGTCTAGCCATATGCAAAATAATGAAATTGGACCTCCACCTTTCACCGTACACACAAAATAACTGAAGATGAATTAATGATTTAAACATAAGACCTCAAACTACAAGAATCCTAAAAGAAAACCTAGGAAACACCATTCTGGACATCGGCCTTGGGAAATAATTTGTGACTAAGTCCTCAAAAGCAATTGTAAACAAAACAAAAATGGACTAGTGGGGCCTAATTAAACAGAAGAGCATCTATACAGGATAAAAAACTATTGACAGAGTAAACAGACAATCAACAAAATGAAAGAACGTATTCTCAAACTATGCATCCAACAAATGTCTAACATCCAGAAAGTATAAGAAACTTAAGTAAGCAGAAACCAAGTAGCCCCATTAAAAATGGGCAAAATACATGAACAGACACCTCAAAAAAAGACATACAAGTGGCCAAGAAACGTGTTCCACATCACTAATCTTCAGAGAAATGCAAATAACAACCATAATGAGATACCATTTCACACCAGTCAGAATGACTATTATTAAAAAGTCAAGGGAGGCTGAAGGAGGAGAATCGCTTGAACCTGGAAGGTGGAGGTTGCAGTAAGCTGAGATTCCACCATTGCATGGCAGCCTGGGTGACAGAGTGAGACTCTGTCCCAAAAATAAAAAAAGTCAATAAACAAGAGATTTTGGTGAGAATGTAAAGAAAAGTGAATGCTCGTACACTATTGGTGGGAATGTAAATTATTCCAGCCCCTGTGGAAGGCACTTTGGAGATTTCCCAAATAACTTAAAAGAGAACTGCCCTTTCACCCAGCAATTCCCTTACTAGGTATACATTCAAAAGAAAATAATTCATCCTACCAAAAAAAATGCATGCACTATCATGTTCATTGCAGCACTATTCACAATCGCAAAGACATTGAATCTACCTAGGTGCCCATCCATGGTGAATTTGATAAAGAAAATGTGGTATATATACACCATGGAATACTGTGCAGCTGTAAAAAAGAAAGAAATCATGTCCTTTGCAATAACATGGATGCAGCTGGAAGCCATTATCCTAAGTGAATTAACACAGGAACAAAAAAGTAAATACTGCATGTTTTCACTTATAAATGGGAGCTAAACATTGGGTAATCATGGACATAAAGAGGGGAATGGTAGACACTGTGAACTACCAGAAGGGAGAGGGAGGGTTGGGCACATGGGCTGAAAAACTAACTGTTGGGTACTATGCTCAGTACCTATGTGACAGGACCATTCATACTACTAACCTCAGCATCACACTATTGAAGGGATTAAGCCAGCTTGCTTTAGGAAGGAAGGAAGGGAAGCATCCCCAGAGTACCTCCAACACACCCCACATGTGCTTACACCAGATGTTTTGTGCAGATGAGGGAACTTGCACAGGCGTTTTGCCTAAACATGCCCATGGGAGAAAATTCCATTCCTTAACACATGCACAGTCAGGGAAATAAATCAATATGGAATGGCTCAGTCTAACGGCCTGTATGCACACTGGAAGGTTGGGGTGGAGCTGCCAGGAATTTGCACCTTAAGCCCTGGTATTCAACTGTGAAGGGGGCAACCAGAAACCTGCTTTCATGACCCCTCTCTTTGCTTTCACTTAATAAATTCTATTCAGCTTACTCTCTGGTGTCCACATGCCTATATCTTCCTGATTGTGAGACAAGAACCTGGACCTAGCATAGTTGAGGATTTACTATATTAGTCTGTTTTCATGCTGCTCATATATAGCCAAGACTGGGCAATTTACAAAGGAAAAGGGTTTAATGGACTTATATTTCCACATGGCTGGGGATGCCTCATAATCATGGTGGAAGGCAAGGAAGAGCACATCACATCTTACATGGATGACAGCAGAAAAAGAGAGAGAGAGAGAGTTTGTGCAGGGAGACTCCTGTTTTTAAAACCGTCAGCTCTCATGAGACTTATTCACTATCACAAGAAAAGCACAGGAAAGACATACCCTCTTGATTCAATTACCTCCCACTGGGTCCCTCCCATCTTGAATGTTGGAATTCAAGATGAAATTTGGGTGGAGACATAGCCAAACCATATCATTCCGCCCTGGCCCCTCCCAAATCTATTGTTCTCACATTTCAAAACCAGTCATGCCTTCCCAACAGTCCCCCAAAGTCTTAACTCATTTCAACATTAACTCAAGAGCCCACAGTTCAAAGTCTCATCCGAGACAAGATAAGTCCCTTCTGCCTGTGAGCCTGCAAAATCAAAAGCAAGCTAGTTACTTCCTAAATACAATGGAGATACAGGCAAGGGGGTAAATACAGGCATTCCAAATGGGAGAAACTGGCCAAAACAAAGGGGCTACAGGCCCCATGCAAGTCCAAAATTCAGTGGGGCATTCAAATCTTAAAGCTCCAAAATGATCTCCTTTGACTCCACTTCTCACGTCCAGATCATGTTGATGAAAGAGGCAGGCTCCCACGACTTTGGGCAGCCCCGCCCCTGTGGCTTTGCAGGGTATAGCCCCCATCCTGGCTGCTTTCACAGGCTGGCACTGCGTGTCTGTGGCTTTTACAGGCACATGATGAAAGCTGTCAGTAGATCTAACATTCTGGGATCTGGAGGATGGTGGCCCTCTTCTCACAGCTCCACTAGGCAGTGCCCCAGTAGGGACTCTGTGTGGGGGCTCCAACCCCACATTTCTCTTCTGCACTGCCCTAGCAGAGGTTCTCCATGAGAGTCCCACCCCTGCAGCAAACATCTGCCTGGGCATCCAGCCATTTCCATACATCCTAGGAAATCTAGGAGGAGGTTCACAAACTCCAATTCTTTTGACTTCTGTACACTTGCAGACTCAACACCACGTGGAAGCTGCCAAGACTTGGGGCTTGCACCCTGTAAAGCCATGGCCTGAGCTCTACGTTGGCCCCTTTCAGCCCTAGCTGGTGCAGCTGGGACATTGGGCACAAAGTCCCTAAGCTGCACAAAATATGGGGATTTTGGGCCTGGCCCATAAAACCATTTTTACCTTATAAATCTCCAGGTCTGTGATGCGAGGGGCGCCACAAAGTTCTCTGACACGCCCTGGAGACATTTTCCCCTTTGTCTTTGTGATTAACATTTGGTTCTTTGTTACTTGTGCAAATTTCTGGGGCTGGCTTGAATTTCTCCTCAGAAAATGGGTTTCTATCATATAGTCAGGCTGCAAATTTCCTAACTTTTATGCTGTTTCCCTTTTAAAAGTGAATGCCTTTAACAGCACCCAAGTCACCTCTTGAATGCTTTGCTACTTAGAAATTTCTTCTCCCAGATACCCTAAATCATCCCTCTTGAGTTCAAAGTTCCACAAATCTCTAGGGCAGGGGCACAATGCTCCCAGTCTCTTTGCTAAAACATAACAAAGGTCAGCTTTGCTGCAGTTCCCAACAAATACCTCATCTCCATCTGAGACCACCTCTGCCTGGATTTCATTGTTCATATCATTATCAGCATTTTGGCCAAAGTCATTCAACAAGTCTCAAGCGAGTTCCAAACTTTCCCACAGTTTCCTGTCTTCTGAATCCTCCAAACTGTTTCAACCTCTTCCTGTTACCCAGTTCTAAAGCTGGTTCTACATTTTTGGGTATCTTTTCAGCAGCACCCCACTTGTGGTAACAATTTACTGTATTAGTTCATTTTCATACTGCTGATAAAGACATGCCCGAGACTACACAATCTGTAAAATAAAGAGGTTTAATGGACTTAGTTCCACATGGCTGAGGAGGCCTCACAATCATGGTGAAAGGCAAGGAAGAGCAAATCACATCTTACATTGGTGACAGCAGGCAAAGGGAGAGAGCGCTTGTGCAGGGAGACTCCCATTCTTAAAACCATCAGATACCGTAATACTTATTCGCTATCATGAGAACAGCACAGGAAATACCTGCCCCCATAATTCATTTACCTCCCATCAGATCCTTCCAACAACACGTGGGAATTCAAGATGAGATTTGGGTGGGGACATAACCAAACCACATCACTCATATACCCCAGCTATTCACTGGGAAGAGAAAGGAATGAGGGATGCCTTTTTTACCTCTTTCTAGATGGGTAACCAATTATCTTCAGTCTGTATTTCTCTCCAATGCATCTTGAATCACTGGGATTCCTTTGAAAATAAAACAAACAAACAAAAAAACCTTCTTTCTCCTTTTTCCTCCTCTGTCCTCTCTTCACCGATGGGTATTTGTGTTCCTGTACCACAGGACAATCCCATTAGATGTATCCCCCAAATTGGAAAAGTTAACTTCCCCAACCTTAAACTGCTGGGCTTAAAATTGAGCTCAGGGGAAAGGAATCCAAAAGCCTGACATGCCAGGTAAAGGGTAAAAGTTTTTTAACAGTTGGACTTCTGGCCTCCCTCTTCCTGTGCAAACTGGTTGAAAGAATGATAAAATCACTGTTTAATCCTCTGTAAAGTTTTGATTAATGGATAAAGGATTTATGAGGCTAGTTGTAAGCTGCAGCCAATCTGGTGTGCTTTGTTTGTCTTTCTGTTTGGTTCTGTTATGAAGAGGAGTACCTTAGGATGGACTGTGGGCCTAGTACTCTATAAACCCACTGTTCAAGCCAGCCCAGCAAACTGGTCAGTAACAAACTTTGTTTTATGTTTCCATCTCGTTTTACATCCTTGGGAGCATGACATATAACCATGTAGAAATACTTGGTTTTGGTCTCTGCTGTTTACGATGGCAGCCTGGGTTCAATCCTGGCTTTGGGAATGAGTATTTTCTGGCTAATACCTGTGTGACTTTTACTTTGCTGAGTATCTTCCCATCCATGACCAACTTCTAGCTTCCTTTCTTAAATGTTTCCTTCTCTGAGCTACCTTTAAAGATTCTAGATTGTGTAAAAATTGCTTACCACCTCTATAATACCTTGTACACTTGCGATTAAGTCATAACTTTAGTTGAGGCTTGTTGGTTTCACCTGTGAGGTTACTTTTCGTAAAGTTCAAAAGTCAGAAATATTGGCCACTTAGCACGGCTAAAACGGGTAACAAGGGATTTGAACAGATTTTCTCAAAGAGCACTCAGCTTAATTAAAAGTGAATATCCAAGCTACAGGTATACTTAAAAGGGCTTTATGTTTTTCTCCTCTTGGATCTTGTTTTTCTGGAAAAGGTTATTTTTGTCAGTCAACTGAATTACTTTTCCCCATTTTGTCTTGCCACTCTTAATGCACACATTAGAGGCCCTAAGATAACTTATGAGAGCATAGGACTCCTTGGGAGAAATAGAGAAGGTGTCACAGATCCCATTTTGGGAAAAAAACCTGTTTTCCTCATGGAACCCCAAGAATTAAAAGCAGATAGTTCCCTCTCAAAATCTGCTTTTGTCTTCCAGCTTTGCCTGTTTGTTGGGCCCTAAAAACTGCAGGCTTTCCTAGCCCTACTTTTTGAAGGGCTCCACCCTGAGGCCAATAATCCAATTAGGAGGTTGGCAAATGAAAAATCTTACAACTACTGTACCTTCTTCTGTCTGTCTGTGTAATCATACATGTGTTATGTGTGTGATGGTTATATAAAAACGAGCTCTAATTGGGCTAAAAAATAAGCACTTAGATCAAATATTTTTGAAGAAAAAATAAAAGCATAATGTCTTTTAGTTCACATGACAATCTCTGGAAAATAAAAACAGTTTTAAAGCTAATTGGTAAAATACAAATGTCTTCAAAATATAAATATGTGGTCCAAATTATGCAGGTCAGACAGTAGGTTTGCTAAATGTTTTAAGGTTATAAAATGATTCTTTGGCTTTTCAGAACTGTTTGACTTGCCTGCTTTACAGTTTGGTAATGCCTGGGACATATGGAATTATCCACGCCCTTAACTATGCAGATTTTATCTGCACCTATTATGTAATTAAAATAACTTACCAAGGTTTGCACTAAAATTAAAAATTGCTAAGAGTTGCCGTTATAACATGTAATTAAGACTGCTGAAATTGGACTTACATGTAAGGTATTCAAGGAAAGTAAAATGGTTTTTAGTAAAAGATTATAAGAAGGCATGGGAATGTAAATTTTTGCCTAGGTTAAAGGATTGTCTTGAATTAGATAAAGCTGAAGATTTAAAAAAATGGTGGGTAGTTTGTAAAAATTAATCTTGTAGAAGAAATTCTTTGTGTGATCATATTGACTAACTTCAAAAAGTTATTAAATGGTTGTTCCATAAATTGAGCTTTGAAATAAAAACACAATGAGGTTTCTTAAGGCAACAATCTACTCTTTAACAAAAATTTATAAAGGGTTATAAAAGGTTTATAAGCATCTCAACTGATGGTCAAACTGGTTAAGATTGGATAGAGTCATCTATAAGGTTTCACTAAAAAATTGGGGTTGACATTAATAGTAGACTAATGCAAGGCTAAAATTTGGCTTTCTCTCCCTTGAACAAGATTTTCATGTAATAGTAAAGGATAAGGAAAGGTTTTCGCCTTTTAAAAAATTTTTGTGTCATCATTTTGGCTAAATAAATAACTTATGATAATTTGGAATTGTATTTCATAGTATCAAATCTTTTGAACCTTTAACATGTTTCGTAGGCTTCTCAAAATCAAACTTCAGCTTCAAAAATTGTTCTTTCTGACCCCTAGCTTTTGGATGCTACAGAGAGCCCCTGGAGCATCCAGAAGAGAGGTAAACAGGATTATATGACATACTTAGTTACAAGGAATTGCTAAAATAAAAATAAGGTTTAAACTTCTTCAGGTTATATTTTAGTGAATAATAATGCATGTTCAAAAGTTGTATGGGATTTCTAAAATTCTAATGTCTGAGTATATGCTATCAATCATAATTAAGGTTATTATGTTAAGTTACTGTAAACCACAGAGATAAACAAATTTCTTTGGTCAATTGTATTCTTGACTGTAACTACCCTGGACATTTTGTCATTCACAGACAATTATTGTCCTGTTTTTTTTTCCTTTTCAAAAGATTATTTATAATCAGCTATAGGACTTTGACAGGTGCTTTTAAATGCAAGTTTCTGATATCTTTGCAGATTATGACATTGGAATAGAGGGAAATGTATAAGACTCATGAAGAACTGAAATGTTCATGAATATCAAGCAGAACAAGAGTTAATGGAATAGACTGAACTAATAGAAAACTAAAGTAATCTTTTCAGCTTTTTGCTTAAGACATTGCTGATTTTTGTTTTGTTTTTCAGAATCAAGGAAACCTATTTTGAGTGATTTACAGTCTTTAATAATTGAGTAAGGTATACTCCTGTGAACAAAATTTGGAGCATGTTTCTCTCTGCCTGGCCTCTCCAGAATCTGGAAACTATTCTGAGTATTCTTAGCTTATGGCAATATAGTTATTTGCATCACTGCAATAAGAATCCATTTTCTTTTGCAACAGGACACAATTTGAGAAACTGGTTGTTTTGCCAAGGCTTTGACTGGAAGGACGTGCTTCTCTTTAAGGAATCAAGCTTGACTTGCAGAGCCAATAAAAGCCCCTTGGGAAAACTGGCCTCATACCTTGTCTACACAGTTCGTGTACAGGGTTCTTAACCTGTGGTGAGTAGAGAATGTCACTTTCTAGCGAGCCCAGGAGCCCCATGTTTTTCGGACCTCAAAAAGGAATTTATCCAACTCATAGGTATTTGAGGGTACAAACCCATTGCTGGGCTCAGCTTTAAAAAGTCTTATCTGAGATTCTTTGTGGACCAGAGTTCCATCAAAGCCAATTTAAAAGCCTATGTGAAAAATAATTATTCTTGCTGCACTTTATGCAAATAATTAGACCACATATAACACTAAAGTTTATTTTGCAAATAACTCAAGTCCTACCATAATTTGTTTCTGACAAAAATGAGGACTAGAGAGAGAAAAATTATGTTTCAAAACTTATCATACACTTATTAAATTCTAATCTCATCAGTTGTTTGTAAGTTTTTGCCTACATTTTAGACTAACCCTGCTTGTACCTGTGAACCAACCAGCGATCTCTGGCTGAAGCTCAGAAGAAACAAATGGTATGGGTAATGTAAAAATCTAGATCAATATTTTAATTCTGAGTGATTATCCTGCAAATCCTGCCAGGTGATGGGAGTGAATGAGGAGCCTATAACCTGGAGGTTTCTTTGTTTGGGAAAATAAGACCAAGGGAGCTAACCAAAGCCAAGCCCCATGCACCCAAATCTTAGCAGGCATAACTATAGCCACCAGCTATCTGGGTATGCTGGCAGCCTTGGGATTTTTGAGCTGTCCTTACCGCCTTCAGTTTGATATATATTTTCTAATAACTCAAATTGTTTATTCTTGCTTAGAGTACTAAACTTCAAATGGTGAGGCAAATGGAACTGTGCATGGATGTGCCATTCTTCCAGGTACTCTTTTTTTTTTTGAGACGGAGTCTCGCTCTGTTGCCCAGGCTGGAGGGCAGTGGCGTGATCTCGGCTCACTGCAAGCTCCGCCTCCCAGGTTCACGCCATTCTCCTGCCTCAGCCTCCCGAGTAGCTGGACTACAGGCGCCCGCCACCACGCCCGGCTAATTTTTTGTATTTTTAGTAGAGACGAGGTTTCACCGTGTTGGCTAGGATGGTCTCGATCTCCTCACCTCGTGATCCGCCTGCCTCGGCCTCCCAAAGTGCTGGGATTACAGGCGTGAGCCACCGTGCCCGGCCTCTTCCAGGTACTCTTAAAGCAACCTCAGGAGGAGCTCTAATGGCTTTCTCCAAACAGCGCCCCCTGTCAGCAGGACACAGTTAAGAGTGGACATCGTTCACTTTCCCCAACAGCAGTTGGGGTCTTCACTCCTGAATGGGGGAAGGAAAGGAGTTAGCCAGCTTCCTTTAGACAGAAAGTAAGAGAAGGGTCCTCAAGGAACCTCCGACCTGCCCCACAAGTGTTTACACCAGATGTTTTGTGCAGATAAGGGAACTTGCACAGGGGGCTTGTTTAAACATGCCCTCAGTGGAAAATTCTGTTCCTTAACACATACATACACAGTTAGAGAAATAAATCAATATGGAGTGGCTCAGTCTAAGGGCTCACATGTGCACTGGAAGGATGGGGTGGAGCTGCCAGGAATTCACTCACACCTTAAGCCCTAGCCCTGGTATTCAACTGTGAAGGGGACAACTGGAAACCTGCTTTCAGGACCTCTCCCTTTGCTGAGAGCTTTCCTTTCGCTTAATAAATTCTACTCCATTCACTCTTTGGTGTCCATGTGCCTAATTCTTCCCGGTCTTGAGGCAATAACCTGGACCTAGCTGAGATAAGGAGCAAAAATCCTGCAACACTATGACATACAGAGGTATCAAACTTGCACCTGTACCCTCTGAATCTTAAATAAAAGTTTAAAAAATTTAAAAATAATAAATTAAGTAATTAAATATGCATCCCTTTTAATAATTAATTTTATTTTAATTAATGTTTATATAAGATAGAAATATAACTGGGAGTAGGACTTATTTAACCTCTGCTTCCTGTTTTTGTAGAGCAATGACATAACACTGTTAACAATGTTTTAAATGTACATAAATTTCATCAATTGTAGCAAGGGAGCTGAAAATATCAACAATGACGTTTAAATTTTCTTTAAAATTATATTAGGTGCAACATGCCTGAATATATTTAAAAGTGTTAATTTATCACAGATTATACAACTAATTGAAGAGTGTTTAACTCTCAATTATTAATGATGTTTTATTTATCAGGAGATAATTTATAAAATATAATTATATCAATAATTTGCATTTTTTTTCCACTAGAAAACAGAAACTCTGAGAGTGTGGATTATGGTAACACACATCCATCCACATTCCACCATATTCCCATATATCATTCCTAGAATCACAAAATAAAACATCAAATTTCAATTTTGCTCACAACAAAGAAAATGCCATACATGAGAATAAAAGGGTGGCAGAAATAAAAGGTGAAGAAGGCCATATGAGAATGATATTTGCCCACTTTGATTGTGGAACTACTTGGAAAATGTTGGTGTTCATCAACTAGAGGAAAGAAAATTACTATCTATCCCATGAGACAGGAGAAAGAACTGTTTGATAGTCCTCATTTTTATCTTGTTTCTTTAACAGTGCTTTGCTGACATCTACTTGGTGAATATAATTTACATCAATTCAATGTTGTCAGGGACAAAAATTGTTACGGCTGGTTGATTTACATCCAAGAATATGAAGTCACCAGATTTCAAAAAGTGAAATTTTTCAATTACTATTTTTGGAAAGTAAAAGAAATATTTCAAACTTTGTAAGAATAAAATAAACTACTTATTGTAAAATGACTGATTAGTGGGACAATGAATTGCCTCCATAGGTAAAAAGACGGATGATAAATAAAGACAAGAAAACACTAGAAAGTTATATAGGGCTTTCTATACCAACCAATATATTAGCATATTCATAATTCTAGCATCTGAAAAGTGGCTAATGGGAAAATTGAAGATAATTTATATGTCCTGTTTTTTGAAAAATATTTAGATTTATCTCCATTCATGGCTAATATAAAACAATAACACTGAGACACAGATACTTAGCAAAACAGATAAATGAATCCACTAAAAAAAATTAATAATTAATTATATAATTGAATTAGGATGCACTGAAAACGAATATCCTTATTTGAAATACACCGGGAAACTATTCAGCTGGAATATTCAGCAGGATATTCAATGCCTGAGTGAGAGTTCTTTATAAACACATTGGTCACAATACCTTCTCCAGGTTCTGGAGATCTTAAGATACATTCCGGGGGTTGGTAATTATGCCTGGAGAGTCATATCTGGCTTGCCACCTGGTTTTGTAAAATAAAATTTTATTGGAACACAGCCACACCCATTCATGTGCATATCATTCTTTGCTGCTACTCTCTCCTATAAGGACAGGGTAAAGTAGTTGCTACAGAAAAGATATGGACTGGAGGCCGAAAATATTTGCTATCTATCCCTTATAGAACTTTCCCACCAACCTATGTTAAATTTGGTAATCAATAATACTTTTAATAGCATTGCTTGGCACGTGAGAGATAATCTCCTGGACACAGAATAACTTTTTATTTCAGAGGTACAACATTGTTTAAAATCTAATGATGTAGCGACATATTGGAAATAACATTTTTAAAAAACCAAATATCCACTAAAATTTAACTACGCTGTTGATCTAGCTGCCAAATATTTTATCCAAAGAAAAGACATTTGTCATGAGATTTCTTCCATGGGTGGGTAGTTCATAACTGCACAGATAATGACTACTATGTTGCAATTTGCTGTTGCCTGAAGAGTGGCAAGATTGTTGAGCCAAACACAAAGCAAATTCTAATTTTATAATCTCAAAATATTCAAAGCAAAAATACTGTTTTCTTCGAATTGAAAAAAATATATTGATGGAATAATACTTTGTACAGCTGAAGACATATTTGAGCTCATAAGTCAAAAGAATTTTCCCTAGCCAAAATTGATATAGAGAGACCATCATATAGATTACCTCTTCAGAAAATATTTGAATTTCAAAGATAAAGAAAGAATGCGAATAATCAATAAACACTCAAAAATACATCTGGTTTCAGACATTTTCTTTGTTAAATTAAAAGGAACATTTTACTTCTTTCTAAACCAGGCAATTAAAAATCCTCTACAGTTTTTTAAGTAAAATTACAGGTTTATTACGAAGTAGGCTGTTGTTGAATTGCAAAAACAATGGAAAGATAAATGTCATAAGAATGAATTCCAACTGAGAGAGAATTACACTAAAATAAGTTGAGTGGGAAAATAGTCATAAAAGTTGGTTGAGCAAAGACATTGCTGCCTTGCTCAACTTTCTGAAGATGAAGATGGGTACTACAAAAATGAAGACCTTAGAAAACAGTTACAATCTTGAAACAAATTACAAGGAAGAGCTGCCACATTCAGAAAGAATAGGTCCGAATTCAGCAAGCCAAGTACAAATACAGGCCTCCTCTGACCTTGGCAGAATTCTATCATCTCCAAAATCAGCTTTTTTTGAACACGAAAAATGAATAACAAATTGTACCTTTAACAATTAAACCAAGCAAGCCCAGGATGGTTTTGAATGCAGCCCAACACAAATTCACAAACTTTCTTAAAACATTATGAGACTTATGCCCAGATCTTTTTTTTTAAGCTTATCAGCTATTGTTAGTGTTAGTGTATTTTATTTGTGGCCCAAGACAATTCTTCTTCCACTGTGGCACAGGGAAGCCAAAAGATTGGATACCCCTGAATTAGACATTACTCATAACAATTGTTCTGAAAAACGCATGACACATATACACAAACACATCTATTTTTACCGTAGTATTATTTCAGTTATAAAAAAATAGATTCATCAAGTTCATTTCAGTCATGATTATTTAATTAATAACAAGAAAGTGCTAGTCACTCAAGCTTTCCTAAGCAATTGTGCCATTCAGTGTGTATTTGTTGGGTAGGTGGGGGTCAGAGGAAATCTTTCCAGACAATTTTCTAGTAAAGGCTGTTGGGTTGAGCTGCAAAAACCATTTTTCTCCACCTTTCTTTTTTTCTTATTTTTAAAAATAGATTTTGGGGGTAAAAATGCAGTTTTGTTATATGCATAGTGTATATTGCACAGTGGGGAAGTATGGGGTTTCAGAGTAGCCATCACCCGAATAGTACACATTGTAGTAATTAAGTAATTTCTCATGTCTCATCCCTCATTTTTCAAAAGCACCTTATTCCCTCACTCTTCTTTCTTGATACTATTTGCTCCATTTTCTTTCTTCTTTCTGAAGTTTAGCTTCCCTTGTTTACCTATCAGCATTATATGCTTGAAAATGGGAGTTTCGTGCATAAACATTCTTCTGATTTATTAGTTTATGTATTTGAGAGGGAAAAATCCAATGTATCATTGGCCAGCTGGTCAGCGAATGGGCTATTTTCTCCCTGGGCTAAGTATCTTCCTTAGTGTCAATTATTTGGGGCAGTTAAGGTGAGGGTGTGTAATTTACACAGGCAACTGTGACCATCCTTCAACAGGTGCTGGGGTTGGGAATATGTACCAGAGATCTGAGTTTGAGTTGATTTGTCCCCCAAAAATATAAAATAAAATGATGCTAGAGTAGATCCTTGCCTAAAAGAAATGCTGACAAAAATCATCTGAGGCATTCTGCTACTTAATATTATTTTTAAATTTTACAACTGATAATTGTTGGCATATGTGGTGGACCTGTATTTCTAATGGTGCAAGTGAAAGTTCTAGGAGATATTGAAACATTTTTAAAAGTTAATTTTAATTGCACTGTGACCAGTACAGGGTAAATGCTTGTTTCTTAAATACAGTGTTTTGTATTTTGAGGCGCTTCTTTTTATAAACTCCAATCAAATATGTACTTAATTCTTTACCTTACACTTTCATATAGCACCTTCTACATACAAAAAGCTTTGTTAAGGGCTGTAGGCATTCAATAATTAGTAAGATATCTTTAAGTTGTATATACTCTGTCCACTTCTCTGACAATCAACTGCAGTTATAAGATCTGTACCTGATTTTAATGTTTTGTCACCTTGTTGAAAGCATGGTAAAAATTAAGTTTGGTATTTAATATGACTTGTCTTGCATAGAGGAACACAATAAAATTAATTCTAAAAATCTCATATTTATTGTGGAGATGTTTGTGAGGATATTGTGATATTACCAAGCATATTTATTTTATCTTAGAATTTAGTACTAGAAAAATACATGATTATTCTCTGAAATCAATAAGTTCTTGTCGCTTATTGGGAAAAGGGGGAAATTATAAATGTTGTAACTGGTTGTATTTGTCTTTCTGATTCAGCTGAATCTACAGTCACACCTAGACATTGTTCAAAACTCCTGACAACATCTACATTTTTACTATTTTTTATTCATTTTTTATTTTTTTGTATTTTTAATATCTGATTTTATACTTGATTGCATATCACTAATTTATATTCACTGCATGCACATACCTGTGAACACATACACACACCTGAATAAAAGGATGGATGGAAAAAAAGTAAAAGGAAAGAATGCAGAAAGGGAGGACAAGAAGAAGAAAAGTTATGGCAGGGGCCATAAACAGGTAACCCATGCGCTGGATCTCATCCACAGAAGTATTTTATTTGAACTGTACGATATTGAAAATAACCATAACTTAAAGTATGGCCAACACTTAAAAGATATGAAAATCATATTTTAGGTGCTCTTGAAAAATTTGAAGGCATGAGAAAATTATATTTACATTACTTCATGGAAATAGTCATAGCTCAACAGCTATTGCTTGCTTTGGGCAGGTAGGCACTCCAGTTGGTAATATTTAATGTGGTGCTGTGTTTATAATGCTAAATTTTATCCTCTTCACATATTGATGTTGCTTACTTTGCCTCTATGTAGTTAAGATTTTTACCACCCAGTTTTAATTTCGGTTTTGAGAGGACTTTCAGTGTTAAATGGTACACAGGTACATACATAGGCAGACTCCATTCATTCTCCTTTGTAATGAAGGGAGATAGATGCATAAATATCAACAATAAATAAATGAAAAGTCATGACATCCCCTATAGAGATGTGTTCCCGGCACAGTGATTTCAAACTAAATTAACATACAAGCATGGGATGATTAACTGACTTCTTATTCTACATGTGTTCAAATGGTCCACCGTCACCTAAGGTTCTCACACGCAATGCTGCATGCTGTTCTAACAGCCTTACAATGATCCATGTTTGTTCATACTTTGAGAAACTTTCAATGTATTTGCTGAGAATCAAAGATATTGTCAGCTGGAAAATAGTATGTTAATGGCAAGGAAATTCAAGAGTATAAACAAAACAGATTGGCAAGTGCCATTCAAACTGAGGACAGCACAGTATGACACTCTACTAAACAGCTATGAATAATTGGTGCTCTAGAAGACAGTGCTAAATGGGGTATGCCTGTAAATATACCATTAGGCACACTGCTATAATAGATGTAAAAAAGAGTGGGGGAATAATGGGGAAAAAAGAGAGAGATTAATGGTAGCTAGAGGCATCACGGAGATTGCATGGAGGAGAAAGGATATAAACAGGGATTTGAGCAAACTGGCTTAGGCTGATGAAAAAGATGAAAAAAATGTAGAATATTCATCACTCAGGATAACATTTTTTCTTAAGCCTAAATTAAACTTGCAGAGAGATAAACATTTATGACAATTAGGGCTACAGCCTGAAGCATTTTGGCTCACAAACTAAGTGCCTTGGTTAATGAGCAAAGATTTCCATTCCTTTGCATGCATAAATACTAAGTGCAGAATTTATCATTCACTAAATCATATCCACTTTTTTTCTGCGTTTCACCAGTGGTTGCATCAATTGTCATTTAACTGCTCTAAATAATGTGTTCTCTTCCCTGTTGTATTAAGCTATTTCTATCAACGCTAATGATTTTCTGATTTCCACATGCCAGTGATTTTTGGCAGTAACAAATGATGCCTCTCTTTTGCATGTTGCAAGTAGCTTAAATTATATTTTACATACCCATTTAAAGGATCATTAGTTAAGCTATTATCCTTGCTATTCAGGAGTGTCAAGCATTTTGTAAAGTATAGTCTAACTAAACACTACAATATTCTGTATGATTTCAATAGTTTACAAAAAAAAGTCTCTATAACTATATGTAACTTTGGCTGGAATACATCATTATACCTTCTAATTTGTTCTAATTTATTCTAATTGTTCTAATTCTAAATTGTTCTAATTTATTCACATTCTTGTGACTTCCACAAAAGGTAGTGACATTTGTATAAACTTTAAAGGGCCAAGTACTATTACAAAAAATAATAAACTTGCTTTAGTCTGAACATGCAGGTTGGTGTCCAGATGTTTACATATTACATTTTTGTGCCTTTCTTTATCTTTCATTTCCACAGACAACACTGTTTAAATAATTATGATCCACAGAAGGAAATACTTAAATGTTACTGAAAGCATTGTAATGCTTTAAAAATCCACATATAGAGGTTGTGCTCTTTTTACACTTTGGAAAACCTACCACGAATATATGTGATATAAAATGGGAGAATTTTGTTTCAACACCACTAATGACTGATACATTGGTAAGGAGTTAAGGAGTTGGCTTTGTACTCTGAGCAGAAGCAAAAGGGCAACTAAATATCTTTTGTTGAGATAAGCGTAAGTATACATGGATCTATCTTGCTCCTAATCATATATCAAATATTACACAAAATAGATATAATGCCTTATTGTAGCTATGTATTGAGAGTCCTATCTAAATGACACTGTACCACTGGAGAGGAGATATATTGATTTCTTAATATTGAGGAATGGCAGGCTTCCCCCTGCTCCATAGCAGTTTTCTTCACGTTATACAAAGTTTGGTTTGTCATAGGCATAAAAGAATAATTCATGGGGTGCTGGGAATTCTAGTATTAGCCCATAAATGGCCACTAAGACAAATAATTTAGAACCACTGTTGCATTCAAAGTTTCCAGTTACTGAGAATAACCAGTTGGAGGTTTAGCATATTGTCAACTGTTCTTCCTAACAATGAGCTGCATTAATTGCTCAGGATGGGTGGGTCCTTCTGGATATGAGATGTGACATTTACACATACAAAATTTAAAAAAAATAAGCATAAAGTCCAGTGAACATCATACAAATTTCATAGGACCATTAGAAACCATATCTGCTTTATGCTGGACCCCAGCCCATTTGTGATGTGAAAAAAAGAAAACATGATTCAGGAGGAAAAGCTAAAGATTAATAATTAATGTTTAATATGTTTTCACAGGGCTTGGATCTGATCCTTCAGCAAATCTTTAATGGTTTCAGCCACTGAACATGTTTGAAAGAGTATAGTTCTAAATAGTGAAATATAAGAATTTGATCTGAATGGGTATGAATCAGTGAGGCAGGCCATAGGGCCTGGAGGGAGGGAATCCAAGGACCTCCTAAGACTAAATCAGAAAGAAACACCTCAGCTATGACAGGAAATATCCTCTTCATTTAAATAGGGCATGCACCAAGTAACACAGGGAAACTTCTAGAGGGTACTCAAACCCCAGAAAATTCTGTAACTGGGGTCTTCGGCCCCTATGCTTGGGCCCGCTGCCACCCTGTGGAGTGTACTTTCGTTTTCAGTAAAGCTCTGCCTTTGTTGCTTCATTCTTTCTTTGCTTTGTTTGTGTGTTTTGTCCGACGCCAAGAACCTGGACACCCTCCACCAATAACAATAGGCTAAAAGTACAGGTCTGTTGAAAATTGAAAATAACATCCTGGATGGTGCAGAAAAGCATCTGAGATTTATGACTGGTGCCTCAGAAGGAACCTACCAAATAGTTGGGAGTTCAGAGGTACCACATGTAATGCAATGATTTCCTAGTGTACACTTGACCAAGGCTTCTTCCTAGCCCCTGGTACCTAATCCACCACTTTTTCCTATGAGAAAAGTGATTGTAGGTGGACATTTCTGGTGTTCTTCTGAGTTTATGTCTAAAGAGTATTTTATTTATATTGCTAGAGTAGAGATAAAAGACAGATTCATAACTTGAAGTCAGAGAGAAAAAGGCGATTGTAACAAATATAGTAAGATCGTTTAAACATTTTTTTTGGTTGTTGAGACAGCGTCTCCCTCCCATCACCCAGGCTGGAGTGCAGTGGCATGATCATGGGTACAGCCCACTGTAACCTTGACTTCCTGGGCTCATGTGATTCTTCCACCTTAGCCTTCTGAGTAGCTGAAAGTACAAGTGTGCACTGCCATGCTTGGTTAATTTTTTTTTTTTTTTTGTATTTTTAGTGCAGGTGGTGTTTTGTCATGTTGCTCAGTCTTAAATGCCTCGTATTTTTAAGTACAATCTAGTTATGAGCAATGGATAAATTTAATGTTATGATTTGGCCCCACATTTAGCTTGCCATACTCCTCAGTTTCTACCTGAACAGGCTGGGACATGTGACCCAACCTTGTTTGCATTTGAATTTCAGGCACAGGTCTGGCTAACACTAATATGCTACTGCTGTCTCTAGTATACCTTATACATTATACACCTTTCCTGCGTTTTTGCTTTGCAGCTGGATTCACACATTTTATTGATATGTTGGCTATAATAATCATTCTCCCTAAAGCTATTTCAATGAAGGGCATATCCACTGGAAATAATAACATCACTATAAAGAAGGAGAAGAAGAAAGAGGTAGAAAAGAAGGAGGAAGAAGAGGAAAAATGTGGGAGAAAACAGCGACAACATCAGCTTCTGTTTATGTGCCATCATGTGATATAGGCTGACATAAACACACAAAAAATTGTCTCGTTCAGTCTTAACTTTATAAACTAAAAATTTAAGTCTGTGTAAATATTATCTTGGAATGGAAAATAGTATCTTGCACGCTGAAGAACAGAATCTGAATGTGTGATCAGTGCCGGAAAACATGTTAGAGATAAGGAAACAGGCTTTGCAAGGCCAAAGCCACTTGCCCAACATAATACCCAATCGTGAATATCGAAGCCAAATTTAAATCCAGCTTTGCCTGCCAAGGCACCATCTTGAAACCGTTTGTTATATAGCACTGCCTTCCCAAACTCTTAATAGCTAAATAAAACTATTTTCACGCTATAAATAAACTAATTAAATGTTATAATTTTTAGAAATATAAAAATAATTTTAACTTATAGCTTCAAATTTTCTTCATTAGTTCTTGGTACAAAAGATGAGAAAAATCTAAACGTTGTTCGCTTTTGCACCCCCTAGTGGAAATGTTAACATGAAGAAAATGACCGAATAATAACTTGAACAAGGAAAATAAAATGGCCAAGTATTTTTCATAAAATTGGCCAGTTGATTTGTAAGAGTTGAGTAGAATACTTTTTGGTTTTGTAATTATAATTGGCAACCACTTAAAATTATTTTCAAGGTTCTTTAGGACTTTGTAAATAACACTATATGTACATCTAAACCTGTATCTATCTTACATGTATATAATATACATATGCATACATACATACTATGGAAGGTGAATGAAGATACTAAACTGAGATAATAATAGAATTAAATTGGAAATCAGCAGGAACTTCATTTCAAGCATGCAAATAGATTTCCTGACCTTTAGTGCATGCATTTATTTATGTATTTACCCGTATATTTATTTTTCCCTAAACTTTTATGTTTGCAGTTTCTACTCTAGTAGGCACTGAGTATTTATAAATGGTCACACAGAAAAGATCAGAATTTAGTTACACATGTGTGTATAAACACACATAAAATGTTTTCAAAGAAAATAGTATCTATGGTAGACTGAAAGTATCATACGATTAAAACATATTTCTTGGTTAGCATTCTACTTCTGTTTATATTCTCAATGCCACTTCAAAATTTATCTTTTTCTCATCAACACAAAAGAGATTCTAATATTGTGACACAGAAAAGATTATAATTGATTAATTATTTGTGCAATATGGCAAATGCACATTTTGCACATATCAACAGAGATGTTATGTGGAATAAAAATGTTTTCATTATGTATTTGGGTTTGGAACAAATGTGCTTACATCTAAAACAAATCCTCCTAGCTGACAGAGCAAGGAAATATATGCGTGTATACTAAACTGTGGATTTATAAATATTTCTATATATATAGTCAGTCGCATCCCCATTAAATAGAACATCAGTTCATGTTGCTATCTCCAATTCTAATTTATTGCCACATAGATTATTTGAACCTTCTTCTCTTGCTTATCTGTAAACTCCCACTCCAACAGTGAGAACCTGGCTCCTACTATCTGCCATCTATTTACTTACTTGTCCATTTCCAGTATACACATAATAGTAGTATCGGAATTGTTAACTCATATTACCATGAGAACTTTACAAGCAAATGTAGAGTCCTTATGTGTAGTTTCTTTTGCCTTTAGTCTTACAGACTCCACTAATTTCCAAGGTCAATTAGCCTATCCCTTTTCCCCATCCCACTAGTAAGGTTGTTTTATACCTTTGCAATCGATTTTTTGTCACATTCTGCCTTCAATCTGGATATCCTCCTATCTCCTAAATGATTTGTTTTTCACTTTGCATAATTAATATTTACTGTTAGTACTATAGTAGCTTGTGTCTTACAAGGAATTGGTCTATTTTGCATAAGTTATCAAGTTTGAGGGTATAGAGTTAATCATAGAATTCCATTGTTGTTCTTTGTCTGTCGGTTCACGAATGATGACACTTCTTTTATTCCTAATACTGTTAATCGTGTCAACTATCTTTTTTTCTTGGTTACCCTGGCAAGATATTTACCAATTGTATTGATCTTTTCCAAGAACTGGCTTTTGGCTTTGTTGATTTTCTGTATTATTTTCCTGTTTTAATTTCACTGAGGTCTGCTTTAATTTTCATTCATTTAATTATTTTTGCTTACTTAGGCTTAACTTGCTCTAGTTTCTTAAGGTAAAATCTTAAATAATCGACTTTTTATCTTCCTTCTTTTCTAATTTAGGAATTTGGTGCTATAAATTTCCATCTGGCCAGGCGTGGTGGCTCACGCCTGTAATCCCAGCACTATGGGAGGCTGAGGTGGAGGGATCACTTGAAGACAGGAGTTCAAGACCAGCCTGGCCAACATGGTGAAACCCCATCTCTACTAAAAATACAAAAATTAGCCAGGCATGGTGGCACACACCCCAGCTACTTGAGAGGTTGAAGCACGAGAATTGCTTGAACCCCAGAGGCAGAGGTTGCAGTGAGCTGAGATCGTGCCACTGCACATTCCAGCTTGGGTGACAGAGTGAGACTCTGCCTCAAAAAAAAAAAAAAAATTCCATCTAAACTCTGGTTTTACTGCATCCCACACATTTTGATAAATTATATTTTTATATTTTCTTTATTTATTTACTATTTTTATTTTATATCTTTTTTTTTTAGATGGAGTCTTGCTCTGTTGCCCAGGCTGGAGTGCAATGGTGCAATCTCAGCTCACTGCAACCTCAGCCTCCCAGGTTCAAGTGATTCTTCTGCCTCAGCCTCCCGAGTAGCTAGGATTACAGGTGCAAGCTACCACAACTGGCTAATTTTTGTATTTTTAGTAGAGATGGGTTTCGCCATGTTGGCCAGGCTCGTCTTGAACTCCTGGCCTCAACAGATCCACCCACCTCGGTCTCCCAAAGTGCTGGGATTACAGACATAAGCCACCACACCTAGCCTATATTTACTTAGCTTAAAATATTTTAAAATTTCTTTTATGATTTATTTGATCCCTTGTTTATTTAAAGTATGTTGTTTACTGTCCAAATACTTGGTGCATTTTCCAGCTATCCTTCAGATCTTGATTTCTAATTTAATTCCATTTTGTGAGAATACACTTTGTATGATATTTAAGCTTTTATATGTGTTAAGGTACATTTTATGGTCCAGAATGTGGCCTATCACGATAAGTATTTCTGCAAGCTTGATAAGAATGTATATTCTGCTGTTGCTAGATGGAATGTTCTATAAATACCAGTTAGATCAAGTTGATTGATAGTGCTATTAAGGTGAACTAATCTTTACTGATTTTGGCTTGCTTGATCCATCAATTACTGAAAGAGAGTTGCTGATGTCTTCAATTATAATAGTGGATCCCTTTCTCATTACAGTTTTTGCTTCCCATAATTTTAATGCTCTGTTAGATGCACAGACATTTGGAATTGCTGTGTCTTCTTGGAAAATTGACCTGTTTATCAACGTTTCATACCCCTCTTACCACTGATCATTTTCCTTGCTCTGAATTATGATTTGTGTGAAATTTATATATAGCTACTTCTGTTTTCTTTAGATTAGTATAAGCTAATACTATATCTTTCTGCACTCCTTTAAGTTTAACCTGAGTTTTTAAATTTAAAGAGGATTTTTTTTTTTTTTTTTTTTTTTTTTTTTTTTTTTGAGACGGGAGTTTCACTCTTGTTGCCCTGGCTGGAGTGCAATGGTACAATCTAGGTTCACTGCAATCTCCGCCTCCTGGATTCAAGCAATTCTCCTGCTTCAGCCTCCCGAGTAGCTGGGATTACAGGTGCACGCCACTACGCCAGGCTAATTTTTTTTTTTTTAATTTTTAGTAGAGAAGGGGTTTCACCATGTTGGCCAGGCTGATCTGGAACTCCTGACCTCAGGTGATCCGCCCACCTCAGCCTCCCAAAGTGCTGGGATCACAGCCGTGAGCCACTGTTCCTGGCCTAAAGAGCATTTCTTATAATAAACAATTGGGTCTCATTTGTATATACTCTAACAATATGTTTCAATTGTTGTATTTAATTCACTTAAGTTCATGTATTTAAAGTGATTATTGATATAGTTGGATTAATACCTATCATGTTTATAATTGTTTTCTATTGATTCCATTTGGTCTTTGTTTCTTCCTTCTGTTTTCTACCTTTTCTGGTTTTATGTAAACATTGTATATGTCTATTTCACCTCATTTAACAGCACACAAGTCATTACTTTTTTGTAAAAAAAAAAAAGTAGTAGTTTCTCTAGGATTTGCATTATAAATTTTTAGCTACATAAACTCTCCTTTAAATATCACCATAGCGATTCTTACGTAAACAGGTACTTTAGAGTATTCCTAGATTTGCCTTTTCCTTCCCTTATGCCGTTACTGCCTTCCATTTTGTTTACCCATATGCTATAATCACCCTATGCATTATTAGTATTATTACCTGAAACAGTTATATTCTAGACATTAAAAATAAAAAAAAGTTCTCTTCATTAATTTTTTTCTTCAACATATTTTTTCCGATGTATATCCAAGATTCCTACCTATATTATTTTCCTTTGCCTAAAGAACTCTTTTAACATTTCTTCTAGAGCGAATTTGCTGGTGATGAGTTCTCTGTTTTTATCTGAAAAACTCTATATTTTTCCTTCATCTCTGAAGGATCATTTAACTAGATATAGAATTCTAGGTTGTTGTTTTCTTTTTTTTTCTATTAATGCTTTAAATTTTATATTCCTCTCACTTCTAGCTTGCCTGGTTTTCGATGACAAGTCTTGCTAAATTCTTATCCTAGTTCTCTACATGTAAGGTCAGTTTTCCTTCTCTGGCTCCCTTTAAGATTTCTTCTTGTCTTTGATTTCTGCAGTTTGAATATGATATACATATCAGTAGCCTTTTTAGAGTGGTTCCTGTTTGGTTTTCTCTGAGTTCCCTGGATTTGATGCCTGTCATTAATTGTGGAAAATTCACAGCCATTATTACTGAAATGTTTTTATCTGGTCACTTCTCTCTTTCTTCCCCTTCTAAAGCTATTTCAGTTATGCTTCTCTTACAGCCCATAGTTTTTGTATGGTTTTTTTTTTCCATTTTTTTTTCAAGTTTTAGTTTGGAAAATTTGTTATTTTCAAGCTCTCTGATTCTTTCCTTGACCATGACCAGTCTGAGCCCATCAAAGGCATTATTTTTTTTACTTCTGCTACAGTGTTGTTTATTTCTGGTATTTTCTTTTGATTCTTTCTTAGAGTTTCCACTTTTCTACTTACATTACCCATCTGTTTCTGCCTGCATCTACTTTTTTCATTAGAGCCCTCAACATTTCCATTGTAAATATTTTAAATTCCCTGTCTGATAATTTCGGAATCTGTGTCATAGCTGGGTCAATTTTTGATGCCTGCTCTGTCTCTTCAGAATCTGTTTGCTTGTTTTTCTTCTTAATATGTCTTGTGATTTTTTTTGTTGTTGTCATTGTTGAAAGCAAAACAAAATGCACTGAGTAATAGGAACTGAGGTAAATAGTCCATTAGTATTTTTGTTGTTGTTATTAATCTGGCTAGGAATTTCACTCTGCTTAATGCTTGATGTATCTGTAGGTGCCAGAGACTTCAAATTTCTCCTGTCTTTAACGTTGTCTGCTGTTGTCATTTGGCTTCTGTAACAACTATTTCATACTTAATATGTTTTAAGATCTATTTTATGCGTGTTACATGTGTTAAGTCATTTAGCAATCACAACTGTTCTATGAGGTAGATTCTATTATTATCACCATTTTACATTTGGGAAAATCAAGACACAGAGTTGTTAAGCAATTTTCCCAGGTTGTTACATTAATAATATGGAAAGCCAAGTTTTAAACACAACTCTAGAGACCATGCTGCAAGCCAGTGTAGTAATAAATAATGTGCTATCATTCCTTGAACTTCCCAGTTTTCTGTGTGATCACTAATGCTGCTTCTGTTTTTTCCAGGTCTACCCCAACTTTCCATCAAGCTGTCATTTTATGTTGTGCCTACATAAAACTGTTTGCAAGAGTTAAATAAGTTGGAGCATAATTCTTTAGTCTTAACTGATAAATGATAAGATAATTTTAAAAATCCAAGTAGGCCGGACGCAGCAGCTCATGCTTGTAATCTCAGCACTTTAGGAGCCTAAGGCAGGCAGATCACTTGAGCCCAGGAGTTCAAGACCAGCCTGAGCAACATAGTGAGACCCCCACCTCTACAAAAAATACACCAATTAGTCAGACGTGGAGGCACATGCCTGTAGTCCACCTGCTAGGTAGGCTGAGGTGGCAGGATCACTTGAGCCCAGGAAGCAGAGATTGCAGTGAGCCAAGATCATGCCACTGCACTCTAGCCTGGGTGACAGAGTGAGACCCTGTTTAAAAAAAAAAAAAAAAAAAAAGTGCAATGTTGAAGGGATTGGCAATGAGCAGAAGAGGAATAAGATAAATTTTGTTTAAGGATTTTAAAGTGAAAAATAACAAACTTGTGGCTGAAGAAAATATTTTTTTCCCAAAATTATCCATTAAGAGCCAATGATCTTTATACCTCTGTAAAATGAAATTTTAGATTCTTATTATTTTTAACTTGGAGGATAAATTGGTGTGATAGCTTTTCTGTTGCTGTTGCTGCTGTTTCCTCATAGCCACTACCCAATAAGTTATAACTTCCCTCAACAATAAGAACAACAAATCCAAGCATGAGGGAAAATATCGAGCTATGTGCAATTTAAAACTAGACAGCATTGCATAATAAATTTTCTCACCTGCTTCAGTGATTTTAGCCACAGAAATAATACTCCATTTATTTTTAGTGTTTAGCAAATAAATTTTACTTGTCATGGAAAATTTGGGGGAATATCTGACTTAAAAACTACTGAAAGTTTTGTGAGTATATGGAAAGTTAACATTCAAAGAAAAATGACTACATTAAGAAATAGCAGAAATAAATATAGAAGCAAGTGTTTGAAAATGAGTAATTTAAGAATGGCAAACCCTGATTAAAGGGAACTATTTTATTTATATATGGAGTTTTATGTTTTTCTGTTTAACAATCAATACCTGTTTAATTTGTGCTTATTAAAAAACAAGGCATCAGATTAAACATTTTAGAATCATTTTCCAACAATAATATCATATTTAGAATGTAACTTTATTCCTTCTTCCTAGGAACATTACTCTTAGAGAAGAATATATGTACTATTCCTTTTCTACTTATAGAATCTGGTGGGAGAAAAAAGCCCTGCCATAGACTTAAATAAAACATTTAATTTACAGATTGTTGTTATCATTTCGTGTAGCCAATTGTTCTCAGAATATACGGTCCTTTCTTTCTAACAGCACATATATGGATATTCAAAAATAAACTCAGTGATTACTTTGGGGACAGGGCTGAGGGTCCCATCAGCACAAGGGAAATAAAGTAAGCCTTGAGTCTTCTATAAGTTTATGGAATGTTACTTGTTTTTTTTGGATGATAGACCTTATAGTGTGGTTGCATGCTTATGAAAGTTGTCCAGTAGAGAGGGAATCGTTGATGCAGGAAAGAGAGAGGCAGGCAATTGAACCATGTCCTTGCACAGTCTGGAGGAGACTGGATTCAGTCCATAAGGGAAGGTTTTAGCCTTAGCAAGGAGCACAGACAGCTCATCCATAATAACAGAAGTGATGACAGAGGTTACTGGCACATCTGTTATTATGTTAGTTCGTGTGGCTGTGGAAACCTTTGGAAGACCTATTCTCATTGCTTCTGTTTTCTAAGTGAAATAAAAAACAGGTTAATCAGCTAAGAATGAGTAAGGGAATAAATGCTTTGCTTTAAAAAGTGAGAAACAAGGTGTGAAATAAAGTCCTGAATGAGTCCAAATGTGAATTATAAATACTGCACCTGTAAAACGTCATGGCTTTATTTTGTGTTTGTTTGTTAATATTTTATATTTTGTTTTCTCTCAAGTCATTTTCAATGCCTGAGTGCACAGGCAGTGTAGACAGATAATTCTGCCAGGGGAGTAGAAAAAGAAAGAATTGAATGAAAGTTGGGTGTGAATATAATATGAGATTGGCAAAGACTTAATGGAGGATATGAAGGAGTTGTTGAGAGGTGTCACTTGTCATGGCCTTGACCGTTCTTGCATATTCTTGGTGAAGTAGCCAAGAAATCAAGACCTGGACTTTTCTGTACATGATCCATTTTTTAAGGTTGTATTTGCAGCAGGCAATTGAGGGTAAGGTGATGTCATCCTCCAGGACAAAGTACGAGCTTGCTATAAAGGTATATCCCCATATCTGTCTGTTCTTTGGCTGTGTTGTAAACCTGCTGTGTGTACAGGATCCACTTAGTCCACTGTGCTTTATTCCAGTGGAACTTGTGGGCAAAGAAAACCAATGCATACATGAAATGCATATTGCTTGCTGTTATGTGAAAAGTCCTCTGTTACCGACCCTGTAGCTTTCTGTGTTCTTCCATCAACCATGACACCATACAAAGCTAACTTACAAGCTTGCAAAGGGGTAAAGGCCCAGATTCTGGCAGGAGTGAAAAAGAATGAAAACTTGTTATGTTAATAATTGCAATTCCTTTACTATGCTATAATGTAGGTAATAACATGATTTTTCTCATGAAGAGGTAAGCGGATTTGAGAGGTGCAGAAATGCACTGAAGGTTATAGAGGTAATATGTAGTATCCATCTGCTATCAAAGGAGAGAAGGTGGGGTAGATCAATCTTCCTCCAATATTATTTTAAATAGCGTAGCATGGCATCAGGAAAGAGAGTAGAAATAGGAATCAGACATTCCTGGTATGAATCCCAACTCCACAGACTCCTAATTGTTTAACCTTGGATAAGTTATTTGGTATCTTTAAGCCTCAGTTTCTCTGTCTGTTACATATGTGCTTAGTCTTCAGCAGAGGATTAATAAGTATTTGTTAGGGAGAATTATCTTTTTAAAGATAATATGAGGATTAAATAGGATTATATATCTAAATTACATGAAATACAATGTGTAGATTTGTGAGTCTGGTTCAGCAAACTACTTATTTCTATATGTGCTTTTGATATATGAATTATGTCAAATAGTATTATATGCTGAATTTGTATAATTTGTTAACCAAACAATAGTTGAAGTAGACCTATTCAATAGGTCTGTAATTTACTATATTACTTAAATGTTAGTGCTAGATTTACAAGTCTATTGTAGTGAACAGATTTTATGACAAATATAGTAACTTCAGTGATCACATTTTATAGACCGCAAATGTGTATAGCTTTAGTTTTGCCAAATCAAGTACCCAGTGCTGATTCACTTTGACTTTAAACTCTCTTTTTTGGTAACAATCTTAGGGAAATGTTTCCATAGGAATTTAAAGAAAAATCAGATTCATCTTGGATATTTTATAAGGGATTTAAAATTCTGAAATAATCCAAAAATACTTAAAAAATAATATACCTAAAAATTAACCACATTAAATAAAGTTTTGTACTAATATTATATAAATGCTTTATGAAATAATTGGTGTACTAGTATGTCAGATACAGTAACGAAATACAAAAAGAAACTATTTAAGTCTTCATAGTTTGAAGCTTGGCTCAACTATTATTTAAAACCAACCTAACTTTTAAAATGCCTAAAGCCTTTATTATTATTCTAGAACTATACAAAGTAAAATTTAAAAGCTTTGCTTCCATGTCATTCCAGATTAAGTTCAATTTAACTTGAAATTTTAAATATTGCAAATCAAAGCAAAACCCTAGAAGTGAAATTCACAAAGAAAAAGCATGGATTTCTCATGGTATAAACATGAAATGCTTTACATCTAAATCTTAAAGCATAATAAATACAAAAACTTTAATGATGTTTTATAAATCATATTCAAGCAATTTTTATTTCTACTTTAATGTAAGCAATTTTTATAGCCCAGTGGTCAAGTTAGAATCTAGATTAGACATTATAATCTAATTCTGTATATTCATATCCAGTATTGTCCTTATCAAAAGCATTTGTTTTATTTTCTTCCTACCCTCCCATCCTCAAGTAATTTTACAAGTATTTTAGAAAATACATCACTTTGGGGAAAATAATTAACAAATCCTATCAAAATAAACCACATATGCCAATATTAAATAAATGTGAGCCAATAAAATAAGTTTCTTAAACTTAGTAGTTTCATTATTTTTAGAAATGGTTATAAAGGTGCGTTACAAATAGTGTCAATAAATATAATTTTGATCTTTTCTTAGTTGTACACAGATTGTAATGGTTAGTGGTTGACAGTAGAACTCGCAAAACAAAAAGTCGATGTAGTATCCATGCTGGCACCCTCTCAGTTTGTTTTTAGTGGAACATAAATAAATATGTGCATATAATATGGACTTATGTAACTACAGATGTTTTTCCCAAAGTATGGAAGCAGCCTGGAGGAGTAGCTGGCCCCCATTCCATGCCATACAGCTAGAAATATAATTATTACTATCAGAATTTATATAATTATTATAGTCATTTAGTAAGGGATCAAAAGTTAATTTTCACTTGCTTTGTTTCCTGAATCAGTAAGTAGGATTCCAATAGGAATAAGATGTGAGTGCACATAACTCTCAAAATCATAGAAAGCTAATTATTGAATACAGAATTAATGATGGGGGAGGAAGATTTTTCCCCACTAAAGAAATGAAAAATACATCATTCCTTACATTTCACAAAATTGGTAGATTTTTAAAAAACTGATAGATTTAAAATTTTAGACTTCCTTATTGAGTTGTTTCTATTATATATTCTACATTGAGCAGATAAAAGTAAGCATAATAATAACACAGATAGCAAGTCCAGATCTATATATATATATTGAAACACCACAGACAAACCATTTTAGAGATGTTTCTCTTCATTGCAACCAAACTAGCCACACTGAAAAATATGATTGAAAGACTGTCCTGAGTCTTGTCTTTTCTACATTTTGACCAATTCTATTATTGTAACAAATACAAGTTTGATATGTATCACCGAGACAGACATATATACACACACCTAAACACACATACTCATATGGGTAAAAATGCAAATAAGTATCTATGCATTTAGATATTTATGTATTATAGTTATTATTTTCAAAATGAAGACTGATTTCCCAAAAAATATCTAAACTGAAAGTCATAATTTAAAGTTATCAAAATGAAGAGAACATGGAGGTTGGATTGATTACAAAATTAATCTTCTGCCTCTAAAAGAATAACAGGTTGACATTTTAAAAACTCATTTTGAGGGAAAAAGAACAGATTGAGAAAATCTCCACATAATCTCTGAAAGGATATCGTTTTCAATGAGCATGAATTACTTTTCATTTTATGCAAGGTTTTTTTTTTTTTAACTACTGCAGTATTTTCTGTTATATTGAGTTATAACCCCCTACCCATAGAAGCAGCTTTTGATTTGATTTTCATTGCCTTGGGCAAGCATGATTGAGGACCCATAAGACTGTGGAAGATGTTGATTGATTCTTTTGATCCTAGGAGATAATAGAAAGTGTTTAAATTGGTTGTGTTAAAATATCTGAGGATGAATTGGGACTTTAGGCAAATTGCACAGATTTTTAATCTTCGATTTGTTCACATTTGTAACATAGGAAACAGAAAAGATTTGTATCTTTTCCTGTCAAATTCCTTTCTGCTTCACATCAATCACTTTTTTTTTCCTCTTCACCTTTTCAGTTCTGACGTAACTCCTTTATTCCTAGAATGAGAAGCCTTTGGGTCTTATTTAAATTTAAAAAGATAGCAAGGTCACACATAAAGCCAAACTGAAGTCACAGGTAGATTAGAGAGCAGGCCAAAGTGAAGTTTTTTTAAAAGTTAGTGGCAAAATGAAAAGTGAACCTTTGCATTTCTCTTTAGGAGCCAAAAGTGTTAACAAATACATCACTGTCTTGGGTAGTATGGCAAAACTTCTCAACAGAGCTGTGGGGACATTTTGCTGTCTTAGGAGTTTCTCACTCAGTTGAATAGTTGGGAGATTTGTTAGATAATGTGTTAATATTAATATGTAAAGTACTGACATGTATAAATTAATTTCTTCTATCATATAAACTAGAGAAGATCTAAGGTTATAATGATAAAAAACCTCACCCCAGATTAATGACAGTGATACAAAAGGAATTCATTGAGGACAAAGAAGGCGTCACTGAATTCTGTAACCCAGGCTTTATTTTTCCTTTGACTTCCCTGCATAAGTTTTAAGATTCTATTAAAATTTAGAGTAATCACTACTCATTTCTACACGGGAATATTTTAGTGATGGAAACATCTATTGGTGTTGGGAAAGGATGGGTTCTGAGTATGTGTTTTCATAGCATTTTCCATGAAAAATTGTCACTTGATTAGCTCAGAGAAAAGAAGAACGCAAAGAGGCTGGTGGAGATTACTGGGAGGATGCCGGTGGACAAAGACAGATCTAGGGACAACTGTAAGGATATCTCATTCACAATCAGATTATAAGGGATCCCTTTATTCTTATTTACTCTGTATTACCTGGAGAAAAATGTAAAAAACACTGCTTTAGTGAGAAATGAATACATTTTGGAGATAAGCAAAACAGGTTTGAGTTTCTGTTAAGACTTCCTGACTGTATGAACTTGCAAACTACACAGCTCTCTGAGTCTTTGGTTTATGTGTAAACTGGAGAGACTACTTTTTGTGAATTCTATAATCTTATTTTTGTAAAGTTAATCTTTTTTGAATTCTTAAATGAAATAATTCATAAAATTTAATAATTCAAATAATTTATTTCATAAATTATGAAATAATTCATAATTTAAAAATTCCCACCACAGGCAGACACTTTTTGTGTACCCCCACATGGTACTGTGCAGCATCAAGCACATTCTTAGGCATGCTCATAAATATTAACTCATTTAAATTCTTCAATAATTCCATGAGATAGATAACATTATTCTCCCACTTTAAGATAGAGAAAATGAGATACAGAAAGATTAAATGACTTGCACAAGATCATATGCAAAAAGATAAGACCAGGGTTGGACCAATATATTCATATTATTAAACACTAGCTGTACTATCCTACTGTTCAACAAATAGTTCCCAAGCTCTAAGCCCTCAGTAAGCTTCACACCATGAAGGAGCTATGTCAATATGAATCTTTGAAGCTTTATAATTGATTAGTACAATTTTGAAATACTTTTTCCTCTTTAGCGTACATTGATTTTGTGTCACTTCTCTGGGAGATATAGTTAAAAGGAAGTTTTATTAGGTCGGTGCAAAAGTAATTGCAGTTTCTGCCATTACTTCTAATGGCAAAAAAAAAAAAAAAAAAAAAAAACCAATTAATTTTGCACCAACTTAAAATTTTGTAATTGAAAATAAAGTAGTTAAAAGTTAATCTCACCATCACAGAAAGACTGAAATAAATACTGTAAGACATGAATCATGCCATTTCTCTAGGCCTCATATCCTTGTCCACAGCATTTCTTCCTATCAAAACCTTTATATCTTCTTTTCTTTGCAGCATTATTTAAAGAAGAGCTTTACTTCAGAATTTAGAATTTAAAATATAAAGTTTAGATCATGTCCAAATTTTCCGCATTCATAGTATCAAAATTTTCACAAAAAGAAAGAGTAAATGGCCCTTTGAAAATACATAAATAATATGCTGGGCACAGTGGCTCACGCCTGTAATCCCAGCACTTTGGGAGGCTGAGGCAGGTGGATTGCCTGAGGTCAGGAGTTCAAGGCCAGCCTGGCCAATATGGTGAAACCCCGTCTCTACTAAAAATACAAAAATTAGCCAGGCAGGGAGGCAAGCACCTGTAATCCCAGATAGGAGGCTGAGGCCGCAGAATCACTTGAACCCGGGAGGTGGAGGTTGCAGTGAGCCAAGACCGCACCATTGCACTCCAGTCTGAGTGACAAGAGCAAGACTTCATCTCAAAAAAAAAATATATATATATAAATTATTTTTGAATTCCAATTTATTTGTAACTTGTGACATTTTGCACCACTAAATGTTTCTTTAATTGATAACAAGTAACTATTGGAAACACAGTGCCCAATATACGTGACCAAAGAAAAGACCTGTAAAATGGATTCATGTTTTCCTTTTATTTCTACAATGATATAATAGAGAAAATCTGCATGGAAAAAAAATTCAGTAAATTATATGAAGACTAACAGGTTAAAATGATGCTCTTTCCACAAGAACTTGGTACCTTATACAATCTTATTTTGTGTGTGTGCAGAAGAATTTTGAATTCCTTCAACTCTAGAAAAATCTCACATTCTAAAATTGCCTGTTTAATCATTACATCTAGTTATAAACATGGCAATACCACTATCTGAACAAATCTCTCTTATGTAGCATGGTGTTTATTTTTATGTGTCAACTTGCCTGGACCACATGGCTCCCTGATATTTGATTAAATATTATACTAGGTGTATCTGTGAGGATGTTTCTGGATGAGTTTAATGTTTGAATCAGTAGGCTGAGTAGAGAAGTTTGCCCCCTACAAAGTGGGTAGACCTCATTCAATCTGCTGAAGATCTGAATAGAGCAAAAGGCTGTGCAAGAGAGAATTCACTCTCTCCGCCTAACAGTCTTAGAGTTGAGAGAAAGGTCTTCTCCAGCCTTCAGACTTGAACTGGAACTTATACCATTGGCTCTCAGATTGTGGATCTTGGGATTTCTCAGCCTCCATAATCTATGTGCCAATTACTTATAACAACTCTCTTGGTTGTTTCTCTGCAAAACCCTGACTGATACATGTACTAAGACTTACACTATATCATTGCCTGTGAAATTAGGATTTTTATAAAAAGTTTACTTTCTGTTTGTAATTTTTATTTCTTCTTATTGCTTAACATATTCCTGTGAGTCAATGAAGTTTTCCTAAACATGATATTTTCATGACCTAAGTGTAATTAATTTAGGTCACATAAGAGTCAACGATAAACACTCTATGTCATGAATCTAAAATTAGGTATATATCAAATAAGGAATATGATAAGTTTGGGTCTCTTTTTCCTTATTCTTTTATTTTGTAACCTTCAATTTATTAATTAAGGACATGACATGTGGGGTTAGGAGGACTTAAACTTAAATTTCTTTTCCCCCTTCACATAAATGTGTGACCTCTGTGGACACGATTTCCTCATCTTAAAAAGGTGCAATAATATTCACCTCATGTGGTTGTGCAGAATACATGAGATCTTGGAAAGAAATTTCCTTGTGCCTGGCACATAATAAGCAAACAGCCAATGGCAGCTTTCCAAATGAATAGTTATACAAATTATGTTAAATTAGAAAGCATAGGTGAATCAGTACCTCATTGCAGATTAAGATCATTTTATCTATATACAGTAGTGGTTTCTTTGTCAAGTCTAAGGAGACATGTTAGCGTGGCCACGAAGAACACAGATTTTGAGTTGTCTCAGGTTCAACACCTACTATCTGTGAACTTTTGAATAAGTTGCTTAACTTCCATACATCTCATTTAAATAATACCTACTTCACTAAGCAGTTGTGAAAATCAGATGAGATAATGCATGATGAAGTATTTAGAGCAGCAAACTATTATGATCTTTATTATTATAAATCCTCTATGTGAAAGATGACCTATAATATTCACTTTAAAAGGATAATTGACATTTTTTTTCCACTCCATTATGTCTCATGTAGAAGTAACAAGTTGTAGAATATCAAGGGTAGCTATCCACACTGAGCACAAGCAATAATGAGGGACGATACTAATAGGAATGTAGAAGGATAATAACACTCACTAATAATAAATTATCTCTTTATTATCACCATGTCCTAGCAATTCTAAATAGTCCTCCTACTGCAGTAGATTGCTTCTACTCCCTCACCCAACTGGGTGTACCACTGGTCGCAAATTGCTAGTGTAGTTTCTTTATTCTTTTCTCTATATTTAACCTTTACTCTAGTTTCATTTATCTAAATTATAATGATCATTACATAGCGTGTCTGTTAAAGTACACACAGAAATTTAGTTATTTCTGTATATAAAGAAAAATTCCATAGCAATTCATTTTCAAACTATTTTCATCAGACACATTGAATTCCTTCATTCCTAATGACAAAACCATTGCTCTATTGAATTGTAAATTTGTTAATAAATGAGATATATTTTTCTAAGTGTAAAAACAATATGACTTTGGGAAAAATCCAAAATTCGAAATATGGCAATTCTCCCAACCTGAAACTATTTCCAACAGTTGAAATTCCATTCAGGTCCTTCACAGGAAGTAAGAAATTCAGTGTTTGACTTGCCACATATTTCTTCTGTAATCTTCAATGTTTCTGCCTTAGTTTAATAGGTACAATATGTCTGACTTAGAATGTCTGCCTTAGGATGTCCTCTCATTCAAAATGTATTCCTTAAGAAAAAGAGACTGCTAGGGAGTGAACCTCAGTAGAATATATACAATGGTTTTAAAAAATAAAATAACTATTTTCTTTCTCATAAATGTTAGGGGAAACAGAAGTAATATTTGAGGTTATTCTAAAATAACATACTCACATAAATGTTTATTTTCTAACTCTATAACTATAAAAATAAATGCTTATTGAAGTTTTTAAAATAGATATATCAAATATCATAATATTTGCTGCAGATTTCACTATCTGCTCCAAACATGCACATATTCAGACAATACAAAATCATTCTGAAATTACAGTGTTATCATGACATATATTCTTGCATTTTTCATGATATTCAGGCAAGAATTTGAGGAGTTAAATATATATAAATATTATACTTGTAACAAAAGGATAATGTACTTGAATTGTCATGTCACTGCAAGTCTAAACTATGAAATATTACAACAGTTCAGTCACAAATATTGTGTAATTGTCTGTAGATTATTGCATGATTTACTTCATTTTTCTCTGTAAATTGGTAAATATATATTCAGTTTAAGGAAATAAAAAAAGGTAAAGATAATAAATATTAGTATAGTCTTCTTCAATATCTATATTACACTTGTGTTTTATGCTGCCTTTGCTTGAGTAATTCTCAATAAAATTTCCCAAACTGTATTCCTACTGTTATTAGAACACATTCTTTTCTAAATGTCTCCTTTTGTCTATGCTTTATTTGAATGTTGGCCTTATTTTGTCAAAAACACATCAGCAGGAGAGTTTGAGGACATATATTTATAACTAATGTAAAATTTGACTTATTATCCAAGAGTAAATTATTATTTTGTATGATTTACTATTCTAGAATTTCAAATATCAGTGCTTGGAACATTTTTAAGGTAGTATTATTAAAACAGTCACAGAATTTTTTTATGTTAGCTTCATTTAAAATGTAGTTTTATAGACTGAACATTATAACATGGCTCAAGTCTATTTTGCCTAGATATTTAGACACACATGTTCATTGGCTAGGAAACATGCTTATTTCATTTTGCAAAGAATTTGTAATTCTTAGAAACACAAAGTTTTTGTTTTGTTTTAACAATTCCCATGAGAAATCATCATGATTTTAGTAATAGTGCATTAATGTAGAAACCTTAATGTTAACCTTCATGTAAAAATAAATTTATTTTATGCTTTTGTAAAATATAGTGTCAAGCATGCTAGTGAGGAATCACATCTTAAGACTAGTTAGAGCTGTTTTTTTTTTTATTTGTTCTTCTTGCATGCGAGAAACAACCAGGCATTTAATAAGGGTTTTAAATGTCTCTAATGTTTAAGTGTTTTCACTTCTTTTCAAGATACTCTTCTGGGCTCAGGATGAATACACAAGAAACATTTGGAGTCATGCAGGAAGTTAATACAAATATACAGATGACTGTAAGACAGGCCATGTACTATGTCTGTAGTAGGGTAAAAGGAGTATCAGGGTTTAAAGGAAAGGCAGATTTTATGAAGCTCAAGGAGGAGGTGTCATTTGAAACGAGCCTTGAAATATAAATATCTGACTTGTGAAAATGGTGGAAAAAAGTGGCCAAAAGCAAGATCAGGATAAAGAGAAAAGCCGCTTCTTTTACAAAGTGATGACAAATAAGCTGATGATAGATGTAAGCCAGGTTCATTTGTTCTTGCATACCAGGGCTATGCTTGCACTGATATCTGTATTTCAGGAATTCTCAACTCTGTGTGTGTGGGAGCGAGCAGCTCTGTGTGTGTGCTAGAGTAGACAAGATGAACAATTACTGCATGCACAAAGCAATCCATGTGTTTTGATCAAAACAAAACAAAAAAATAACGTAAAATAAAAAATGCAAGGAAGTAAGATGGATATTGCTACTGATTATAATAAATCCTGAACATCATAACTAATTCATATTATGTCACTGATAGTTGGACACTTGGAGCTGTGCAATGGATAACATGACTGGTGGGTTATGTGCAATTTTTGAATTTTATTTATGTTTTTGTTACCGCCTGTCTTTTCTTTCTTTCGTTTCTACTCAAGAAAAGCACTTCAGAAGGCAAGGGAATAAGTGTGATATAATGTGCACATTTAATTAATTTTTAAAAAGGAAAATCATTCACAACTTTTAGACTTTAATTATAATTGCTAACTTATCATCAAAGATATACTTCATGATTGGTTATAATATGCTAGAATAGTCTGACACGGTCTGGGAAGCAGAGACAATAGGGAGAGACTGGAGATTTTCTTCTTTTTAAGATGAGGTAATATAATGGAAATTGTACTTTGGATATGCGATTCTGATTTGTGTGGAAGGGATCTGACTGGGGAGTATTTGGCTCTCTAGAGAGAGGAACTGAGAAACAGAATCATGCTGGAGGCTGTGGATATAGAAAGGAAGGAATGTCACTTAAAAATGGAAACTATAGGAGTAGTCCATTAATGACAGGTAAGAATCCAAGAACATTCTACAGGTAGGTTAATTACAGCATAATAGTCAACAGAAATAAGGCACTTAGAAGTAGCAGACAGGTGGGACAAGATATCAGAACAACAAAGAGACTGAGACGGCCAGTGGCCAGAAGAACATTGAGTTCGAATCTGGAGAGAGAGGCATAGCTATTTATATTGGAAAGGTAATAGTTACGGAGATAGACAAAAGGAACAGCAGATAACAAGAAAAGAAGGCTGAGGACTAATTGTATAAAAAGTATAAATTGTTCTGTGCAATTAGCTACTTATGGCAACATTTGGAAAAGCTGATAGCAAATAATAACTGAGCACTTGCTATGTACTAGAAATTGTACTAGGGTCTGAGATGATAAGATTAGGGAAAATAAAGAAAATATAATAATAAAAATAAATGATTGTTGAACCCAAATTTTTAAAATCTTAGTAGAGATGACGAAAAAGAAGCAAGCATTACGAAGTAATTAAAAATCAAAGATATCAAAGAAATATGTACATATTAAGTATAACAAAGAAATAGATTTGAAGCTTGAAGACATCTTTGTTTCTCTGTACATATGTATAATTACTTGAAAAAATATTTAGTTTTTATCTTAACCAAAGCCCATTATCTAGTTGGTAGTTATCTTGTTTGCTCTAGATGTATTACCTGAGTGGCATGGAATCAGGACAAGTATGTAATTTGTAGAGCCCCCTGTTCAAAAATAATTAGGAATCTCAAGACAGTAACAGTAGAGCATTAAACCAAGTGTGGGGTTTGTTATGGTCTGAATGTTCGTGTCCCCTGCCAGACTCATATATTAAAATCTTACCCTGCCAGGTGATAGTATTAGGAGGTGGGACTTTTGGGGAGGTAATTAGGTCATGATGGTAGAGCCCTCATGATTGGGATTAGTGTTCTTAAAAAGACCTTAGAGGCCGGGCGCGGTGGCTCACGCCTGTAATCCCAGCACTTTGGGAGGCCGAGGCGGGCGGATCACGAGGTCAGGAGATCGAGACCATCCCGGCTAAAACGGTGAAACCCCGTCTCTACTAAAAATACAAAAAATTAGCCGGGCGTAGTGGCGGGCGCCTGTAGTCCCAGCTACTTGGGAGGCTGAGGCAGGAGAATGGCGTGAACCCGGGAGGCGGAGCTTGCAGTGAGCCGAGATCCCGCCACTGCACTCCAGCCTGGGCGACAGAGCGAGACTCCGTCTCAAAAAAAAAAAAAAAAAAAAGACCTTAGAGAGTTAGCTAGCACCTTTCACCATGTGAAGACATAGCAAGAAAGCACTATCTATGAACCAGAAAGCAGGCCCCCATCAGACAGTGAATCTGCTGGTGCCTTGAACTTGGACTTCCCAGCCTCCAGAACTGTGAGAAATAAATGTTTGTTGTGTATAAGACACTCAACTTGTGGTATTTTGTTACAATGGCCCGAACGCACTAAGACTGGGTCCTTTTGAGCATAAGGCCCTTCACAGGATTTGTGCCCATGAATCCAGTACTGTATGGAATTCATTCTACCAACACCATTGCTCCTTTTCAGCCTGTATTGAAGTTCCTCTCTTTATTGATCTCTTTATGTTGAGGTGCCTAGGACCACAGGCCTTACCCTCTGTTCTATTCACACTCATTTCATGGAAAGCCCAGTCAGTTTCAGAGCTTTGCAAACTGAGTATGCAATGAATCTCAAAGCTTTATATCCAGGCTAGGCTTTTCTCCAGAATCTTAAACTCATTATATCCAAGTGCTAACTACACCTCTCCATCTTGCTGTTCAAAAGACAATTCAAGTTCAGTGTCTCAACACTTCATCTCATGTTCAACTTCTCATTTCTCCCTCATACCTGCTCCCCCTACAGTTCTGCACATCACATTGACGGCATCACCAAAGTTCCAATTTCTCAGAGCCAAAAGAAAATACCAAAGTGTTTTTACATTTATTTCTATTTGAAATATATTTCTAATCTATCATCTTCTATGATCTGTATCCAAAATATATCAGAATCTGAATTTTTCTTAGTATTTGACCATGAATTTTCTAACTGCCATCTTCTCTTCAACTGCCATCACTGTAGTTGCTGCTTGGCTGAGCTCATTGCTTCTAGCCTTAGCCTCCTCAACCTATTCTCAACAGAGTAGTCAGAATGATTCTCATAAAGCCTCATGCAGATGAAATCATTCCTCCAAGCTTTACATGGCTCCCATTTATCTTGAAGTTTAAAAAGTCCTTAAAATGTCTGGCAATACCCTATGAGATCTGACCTCTTGCTATGTTCTTATATTTTCTCCTATTAATTTTCAGTTCTTCCTAGTCCTGTCCACCCTACTTGAGTTCCTTCCCTACTAAGAAACACTCTCTCAGAATATCTGCACAATTACTTCCTCACATCTTTCAAATCTTGTCATATCTCACCCTTTCAATAAGGCCTATCCTGACATCCTCATCTGAAATTGAAACAACTCTTTGGACTTCCTCTCCCCATTGCCTCAGTCTCCCTTACTCTGCTGTATTTTATTTTTCTGTATTTTTTTCACAGCCCTCATTAGTTTGTAAAATTTCAAGCTTTTTGTCTCTCTTCCTATACTAAAATAAATACTCCACTAGGACAGAGATCTTTGTTTTGCTTCATACTGCATCTAAAGCATCTACAAGTACAGCATCTGGCACATAGCTAGTGCTCAATAAACAGCTGTTGAATAAAGGGATAATAAAGTAAGTGAATACATGGAAGGAACAATATGCTAACTATGCAGCTTAGTATCCTGTGGAATTATTATAAACTGAGCAACTGGAAAGAAATAAATTCTATAGCTCTATGAAAACCTGATAAGCACAGGATAAAACTACACATATGCTATTTTACTGTTATTTATAGTGATGGCAGTCATAAAATGTACACTTATTTGGGGACATCAAATTAATTTAGTTCTATATTAAATGTTTCTCACTTTATCCTTTTGTTTTCAATAACTTAAATATCAATAAATGTATTTCCCTATGGGTATTATTTCTAACATTTAAATTTTTGACCTCCAAAACAGCAGGAATTGATTAACATTTAACAACATGGAAATGTGAAGAAATGAGAAAATTAATTATTGCACCTCATAACTCAGAGCGTATGGCTCAGTTTTCATGCATCATGTAAAGGCTTTAGACTTCAGAGAATCTATTTAAATTTTGTATTCTTACACACTGGAATGGTAAATAATGGGAAAGGACAAAAAGAACTCAATTCAACCCTATTCAAAGACCCAGTGACCACTGAAGTTTTATGCAAATAAATAGTCAGAAAAAATGGCATAATCTTCAATCATCCTCATTAAGGCAACAACAGCAAAAGTCAAGTAAACATTGTTTAAATGGCATTCTTGCCTAATTTCCTATCATCCACTTTATATTCTGATATAAAAGAGAGAATTTGGGCTTCAAGGAGAATGAAAAACAGCATCATTTAAAGGTTTACACAATGTAGAATTAGAGATGCTATTACTGGGATGATTCTTTTAAAAATACAACACTTACTATGCCATTATTTTGCTGAAAATTCTGCAATGGTTCCACTCTGTGATCACAATCAAAGCCAAAGTCATCACAATGCTCATGGCTCTATACATTTGGGCCTTCTTTACCTGTGACCTAATTTCTACCATGTTTCTCATCTTTATCTGCTCCCATCACCTTGACCTTGTTGCTGCTTCTTCAATATTTCAGACACTAGGGCCCTTACGGTGGTGGTTTCTCTTCTGGAATATTCTTGCCCTCAACATCTGCATAGCAATTCCATTAACTCCTTCAATACATGCACCATTTCCAATTATTGCTTTCTTAATGAGCTGATGAATATACAAACACATAAACATGTATGTAATACTAGACATCTTTTGTGCTTAATGATAAATGCTAGATGCATTCCCAGTAAAGAAAAAAACAAAAATGTCCACCATAACCACAATTACTACAAATTATTGTGGAAGTATTAGCTAATTCAATTGTGTGCACACATCCACACACACACACATACACAAACACATCTGTGTATTTAATTACTGCCATTTGAAGATATTTACTTAAAAATCTAACAGTATCATTCTAGAAAGGGAATCTTTTAAAATTAATTTAGCAAGCATCAGAAATTTTCTGAATTTATGTTAGTACTTTAAAAAAAACTGTAATGAATGCTAATAAATATACTTCAGAAATTAACAAGAGTTATGTAAAGGAAACAAGAAATCTCTAGAGAACATAAAGTAAAACTCAACCAAATTAAAAGACTATTATAAAATAATAAAATAAGAGACTCAATCATATAAGGAAGTCAATTTTCTTAAAGTCAATCTATTATAGAAATTTAATAATATCTTAGTCAAAATCTCATATCACAAAATAATCTTATAGTTACTGTAAAAGAGTATGTAACAATTATCATAAAAATATGCAAAAAAGAGTAATGATTATGTTCTTTTCCTACCAAATACTAAAATAGATTATAAAACTGCAATATTAAACATTTATGACACTAAGTTTTTCTTTTAATTCTGTAAATTAGACTACTTGCCCACTTACTAAAGTCTTTATTATCCACATTTATTAGTTTTTGTTAATTAAGTGGAGACTTCTAAGTATAGAGTCATATTATCTGCACAGAACAATTTATACTTTTTCTATCCAATTTTTATGCCTTATTTTTTCCTCTTGTCAAAATGCACTAGTTCATATTTTCAAAATTATTTAGTAATAATGGCAAAAATGGACATTCTATGCCTTGTTGCTAAATTGTGAAAATGCTTTCTATGTTTCCTTATGAATTATTGAATACTTGCTTGCTTTGTGTTCAAAGAGATAAATTTTCCTACACATCTATCTATTCTTAATATTGTAGCAGTTTTTATTTTTTTGTAAGAACAGATGTGAATTTTCTTATATTTTCAGCATTTATAGAAGAAAAAAATCAGTACTTTTTGTCTTGCTAGATTAACATGGTTCTTACACAATTTCCCAGTATTTGCTTCCAGGGAATCACCCTAGTTGATTGTTGCCTATTATTCTTTCAATGACATTTTAATTTAATTGCAATTTGTATAGGGATGTGGGAATGCAATGGTATCCAGATGTGAGATCTATCTTTGCTGTTTGCTATACGTTTTATTTCTACTGGATTTGGTATCAATGTTTTAATTGTTTTACCAACAACTATTTAGAAGCTTTTAGAAAATCTTCCCTGGAGCTTTTAATTTTTAAAGCTTTGACAGAATTAACTTTCAAGTGCTCACTTTGGCACCACATATACTAAAATTGGAACAAGACAAAGAAGATTAGCATGGCCCCTGTGCAAGGACGATATACAAATTCATGAAGCGTTCCATATTTTTCCAACACCAAAATTCAGGAAATGCAGAGAACCCCAATAAGATACTTCACAAGAAGATCATCCCCAAGACACATAGTCATCAGATTTTCCAAGGTCAAAATGAAAGAAAAAAATGTTGAAGGTAGCTAAAGGAAAAGGTCAAGTTAAAAGGAAGGGAAGCCCATCAGACTAACAGCAGACCTCTTAGCAGAAACCCTGCAAGTGATAAGAGACAGAGAGCCAGTATTTAACATTCTTAAAGAAAAGAAATTCCAGGATTGCTGGCAAGATTGCCAAATAGGAACAGCTCTGGTATGCAACTCACAGCAAGATTGATGCAAAAGGCAGGTGATTTCAGCATTTCCAACTGAGGTACCCGGTTTATCTCATTGGGACTGGTTGGACAGTGGGTGCAGTCCAAGGAGGGTGAGCCAAAGCGGGGTGGGGCTATGCCTCACCCGGGAAGTGCAAGGGGACGGGGAACTCCCTCTCCTAGCCAAGAGAAGCCATTAGGGACCGTACCTTGCATTCCAGCCCAGATACTGTGCTTTTCCCATAATCTTCGCAACCCACAGACCAGGAGATTCCCTCCGGTGCCTACACCACCAGGGCCCTGGGTTTCCAGCACAAAACTGGACGGCCATTTCGGCAGACACTGAGCTAGCCACAGGAGTTTTTTTGTTTTGTTTTTGTTTTTTTTTTTCATACCCCAGTGGCACCCAGAAAGCCAGAGAAACAGAACGATTCACTCCTCTGGAAAAGGAGTTGAAGCCAGGGAGCCAAGTGGTCTCGCTTGGCGGGTCCCACACCCATGGAACCCAGCAAGCTAAGATCTACTGACTTGAAATTCTCGCTGCCAGCACTGCAGTCTGAGCACAACCTGAAACCCTCAAGCTTGGTTGGGGGAGGAGCGTGTGCCATTGCTGAGGCTTGGGTAGGCAGTTTTACTCTCACTGTGTGAACAAAACTTCCGGGAAGTTCAAACTGGGCGGAGCCAACCACAGCTCAACAAGGACTTTGCGGCCAGACTGCCTATCTAGATTCCCTCCTCTCTGGTGCAGGGCATCTCTGAAAAAAAGGCAGCAGAGCCAGTCAGTGACTTATAGATAAAACCCCCACCACTCTGGAACAGAGCACCTGGGGGAAGGCGGGGTTGTGGGCAAAGCTTCAGTAGACTTAAATGTCCCTGCCTGGCAGCTATGATGAGAGCACTGGATCTCCCAGCACAGCATTCGAGCTCTGGTAAGAGACAAACTGCCTCAAGTGGGTCCCTGACCCCCATGTATCCTGACTGGGAGACACCTTCCAGTAGGGGCCGACAGACACCTCATACAAAAAAGCTCTGTTTGGCATCTGGCAGCTACCCTTCTGGAACAAAGCTTCCAGAGGAAGGAACAGGCAGCAATCTTTGCCGTTCTGCAGCCTCCACCACCAGTGATACCCAGGCAAAAAGGGTCTGGAGTGGACCTCCAGCAAACTCCAGCAGACCTGCCTCAGAGGGGCCTGACTGTTAAAAGGAAAACTAACAAACAGAAAGGAATAGTATCAAACTCAACAAAAGGGACATCCACTCAGAGACCCCCTCCAAAGGTAACTGACTTCAAAGACCAAAGGTAGATAAATCCATGAAGATGGGGAGAAACCAGCGCAAGAAGGCTGAAAATTGCAAAAATCAGAACACTTCTTCTCCGGCAAAGGATCACAACACCTCAACAACAAGGGAACAAAACTGCACAGAGAAGGAGTTTGACAAATTGACAGAAGTAGGCTTCAGAAGTAATAACAAACTCCTCCAAGCTAAAGGAGCATGTTCTAACCCAATGCAAGGAAGCTAAGAACCTTGAAAAAAGGTTAGACACATTGCCAACCAGAATGACCAGCTTAGAGAAGAACATAAATGAGCTGACGGAGCTGAAAAACAGAGCATGAGAACTTCGTGAAACATACACAAGTATCAATAGCTGAATCGATCAAGCAGAAGAAAGGATATCAGAGATTGAAGGTCAACTCAGTGAAATAAAGTGAGAGACAAGATTAGAGAAAAAAGGATGAAAAGAAATGAACAAAGCCTCCAAGAAATATGGGATTATGTGAAAAGATCAAATCTACATTTGATTGGTGTACCTGAAAGTGACCCAGAGAATGGAACCAAGTTGGAAAACACCTTGAGATATTAGCCAGGAGAACCTCCCCAATCTGGCAAAGCAGGTCAACATTGAAATTCAGGAAATATAGAGACAACACAAAGATATTCCCCAAGAAGAGCAACCCCAAGACATATAATCATCAGATTCACCAAGGTTGAAATGATGAAAAAAATGTTAAGGGCAGCCAGAGAGAAAGATCAGGTAACCACAAAGGGAAGCCCATCAGACAAACAGCAGATCTCTTGGCAGAAACCCTACAAGCTAGAAGAGAGTGGGGGCTAATAGTCAACATTTGTAAAGAAAAGAATTTTCAAACCAAAATTTCATAACCAGCCAAATCAAGCTTCATAAGTGAAGGAGAAATAAAATCCTTTACAGACAAGCAAATGCTGAGAGATTTTGTCACCAGCAGGCCTGCCTTACACGAGCTCCTGAAGGAAGCACTAAGCACAGAAAGGAACAACCAGTACCAGCCACTGCAAAAATATACCAAATTGTAAAGACCATCATTGCTATGGAGAAACTGCATCAACTAACGGGCAAAATAACCAGCTAACATCATAATGTCAGGATCAAATTCACTCATAACAATATTAACCTTAAATGTAAACAGGCTAAATGCCACAATTAAAAGACAAAGACTGGCAAATTGGATAAAGAGTCAAGACCCACAGGTGTGCTGTATTAAGGAGACCCAACTCATGTGCAAAAACACCTATAGGCTCAAAATAAAGGGATGGAGGAATATTTACCAAGCAAATGGAAAGCAAAAAAAAGCAGGGGTTGCAATTCTAGTCTCTGATAAAACTGACTTTAAACCAACAAAGATCAAAAGAGTCAAAGAAGGGCATTACATAATGGCAAAGGGATCAATGAAATAAGAAGAGCTAACTATACTAAACATGTATGCACCCAATACAAGAGCACCCAGATTCATAAAGCAAGTGCTTAGAGACCTACAAAGAGACTTAGACTCCCATACAATAATAATGCGAGAATTTAACACCCCACTATCAATATTAGTCAGAACAATGAGACAGAAAATTAACAAGGATATCCAGTACTTGAACTCAGCACTGGACCAAGCGGACCTAATAGACATCAACAGAACCCTCCACCCCAAATCAACAGAATATATGTCCTTCTCAGCACCATATCGCACTTATTCTAAAATTGACCATGTAATTGGAAGTAAAACACTCCTCAGTAAATGCAAAAGAATGGCAATCCTAACACACAGTCTCTCAGACCACAGTGCAATCGAATTAGAACTCAGGAATAAGAAACTCACTCAAAACCAGACAACTACATGGAAACTGAACAATCTACTCCCAAATGACTACCGGGTAAATAACGAAATGAAGGCAGAAATAAAGATGTTCTTTTAAACCAATGAGAACAAAAGCACAACGCACCAGAATCTCTGGGACACAACCAAAGCAGTGTTTAGAGGGAAATTTATAGCACTAAATGCCCACGAAAGAAAGCAGGAAAGATCTAAAATCTACACCCTAATATCACAATTAAAAGAACTAGAGAAGCAAGAGCAAACAAATTCAAAAGCTAGCAGAAGACAAGAAATAACTAAGATAAGAGCAGAACTGAAGGAGCTAGAGACACAGAAAACCCTTCAAAAAATCAATGAATCCAGGAGCTGGTTTTTTGAAGAGATTAACAAAATGGATAGACTGCTAGCCAGACTAATAAAGAAGAAAAAAGAGAAGAATCAAATAAATAGAATAAAAAATGATAAAGGGCATATCACCACTGATTCCACAGAAATACAAACTACCATCAGAGAATACTAGATTAGACTATCCAGAAGAAATGGACAAATTCCTGGACACATACATCCTCCCAAGACTAAACCAGGAAGAAGTTGAATCCCTGAATACACCAATAACAGGATCTGAAATTGAGGCAGCAAGTAATAGCTTACCAACCCAAAAAAGACTAGGATCAGATGGATTCACAGCTGAATTCTACCAGGAGTACAAAGAGGAGCTGGTACCAATCCTTCTGAAACTATTGAAACAATAGAAAAAGAGGGAATCCTCCCTAACTCATTTTATGAGGACAGCAGCATCCTGATACCAAAACCTGGTAGAGACACAACAAAAAAAAAGAAAATTTCAGGCCAATATCCCTGATGAACATCAATGCAAAAATCCTCAATAAAATACTGGCAAACCAAATCCAGCAGCACATCAAAAAGCTTATCCACCACTATCAAGTCGGCTTCATCTCTGGGATGCAAGGCTGGTTCAACATATACAAATCAATAAACATAATCCATCATATAAACAGAACCAATGACAAAAACCACATGACTATCTCAATAGATACAGAAAAGAAAGGCCTTCAACAAAATTCAACAGCCCTACATGCCAAAAATTCTCAATGAACTAGGTATTGATGGAACGTATCTCAAAATAATAAGAGCTATTTATAACAAACCCACAGCCAATATAGTGACTGGGCAAAAACTGGAAGCATTCCCTTTGAAAACCGGCACAAGACAAGGATGCTCTCTCTCACCACTCCTATTCAACATAGTATTGAAAGTTCTGGCCAGGGCAATCAGACAAGAAAGAAAAAAAGGGTATTCAATTAGGAAAAAAGGAAGTCAAATTTATCTCTCTTTGCACATGATGATTGTATATTAAGAAAACCCCATTTTCTCAGCCCCAAATCTCCTTAAGCTGATAAGCAACTTCAGCAAAGTCTCAGGATATAAAATCAAAGTGAAAAAATCACAAACATTCCTATACACAAATAACAAACAGAGAGCCAAATCATGAGTAAACTCCCATTCACGATTGCTTCAAAGAGAATAAAATACCTTAGAATCCGTCTTACAAAGGATGTGAAGGGCTTCCTCAAGGAGAACTACAAACTACTGTTCAAGGAAATAAGAGAGGACACAAACAAATGGAAAAACATTCCATGCTTATGGATAGGAAGAATCAATATGAAAATGGCCATACTGCCCAAAGTAATTTATAGATTCAATGCTATCCCCATCAAGCTACCATTGACTTTCTTCACAGAACTGTAAAAAACTACTTTAAATTTTATAAATGAATTTAAGTTTCATAAATGAATCAAAAATGAGCCTGCATAGCCAAAACAATCCTAAGCAAAAAGAACAAAGCTGGAGGCATCATGCTACCTGACTTCAAACTATACTACAAGGCTACAGTAACAAAAACAGCATGGTACTTGTACCAAAACAGGTACATAGACAAATGGAACAGAACAGAGGCCTCAGAAATAACACCACACGTCTACAACCATCTGATCTTTGACAAACTTGACAAAAACAAGAAATGGGGAAAGGATTCCCTATTTATTAAATGGTGTTGAGAGAACTGGCTAGCCACATGCAGGAAGTGAAACTGGATCTCTTCCTTACACCTTACAAACAAATTAACTCAAGATGGATTAAAGACTTAAACATAAGACCTAAAACCATAAAAACCTTGAAGTCCTGAATGGCAATACCATTCAGGACATAGGCATGGGCAAGGACTTCAAGACTAAAACACCAAAAGCAATGTCAACAAAAGCCAAAATTGACAAATGGGATCTAATTAAAATAAAGAGCTTCTGCACAGCAAAAGAAACTATCAGCAGAGTGAACAGACAACCTACAGAATGGAAGAAAATTTTTGCAATCTACCCATCTGACAATGGGATAATATCCAGAATTGACAAAGAACTTAAAGAAATTTACAATAAAAAAAACACATCAAAAAGTACGTAAAGGATATGAACAGAAATTTCTCAAAAGAAGACATTTATGCAGCCAACAAACATGAAAAAATCTCATCATCACTGGTCATTAGAGAAATGCAAATCAAAACCACAATGAGGTACAATCTCAGGCCAGTAATAATGGCAATCATTAAAAAGTCAGGAAACAACAGATGCTGGAGAGGATGTGGAGAAATACAAACACTTTTACATTGTTGGTGGAAGTGTAAATTAGTCCAACCATTGTGGAAGACAGTGTGGTGATTCCTTAAGGATCTAGAACTAGAAATACCATTTGATCCAGCCATCCCATTACTGGGCATGTACCCAAAGGATTATAAATCATTCTACTGTAAAAACACATGCACACATGTTTATTGCAGCACTGTTCACAATAGCAAAGACTTGGAACCAACCCAAATGCCCATCAATAATAGACTGGATAAAGAAAATACGTCACATATACACCATGGAATACTATGCAGCCATAAAACAGGATGAGTTCATGTCCTTTGTAGGGACATGGATGAAGCTGGAAACCATCACTTTCAGCAAACTAACACAAGAACAGGAAACCAAACACTGCATGTTCTCACTCATAAGTGGGAGTCGAACAAGCAATGGGGAAAGGATTCCCTATTTAATAAATGGTGCTGGGAAAATTGGCTAGCCATATGTAGAAAGCTGAAACTGGATCCCTTCCTTACACCTTATACAAAAATCAATTCAAGATGGATTAAAGACTTAAATGTTAGACCTAAAACCATAAAAACCCTAGAAAAAAAACCTAGGCATTACCATTCAGGACATAGGCATGGGCAAGGACTTCACGTCTAAAACACCAAAAGCAATGGCAACAAAAGACAAAATTGACAAATGGGATCTAATTAAACTAAAGAGCTTCTGCACAGCAAAAGAAACTACCATCAGAATGAACAGGCAACCTAAAAAATGGGAGAAAATTTTTGCAACCTATTCATCTGACAAAGGGCTAATATCCAGAATCTACAATGAACTCAAACAAATTCACAAGAAAAAACTAAACAACCCCATTAAAAAGTGGGCAAAGGACATGAACAGACACTTCTCAAAAGAAGACATTTATGCAGCCAAAAAACACATGAAAAAATGCTCATCATCACTGGCCATCAGAGAAATGCAAATCAAAACCACAATGAGATACCACCTCACACCAGTTAGAATGGCAATCATTAAAAAGTCAGGAAACAACAGGTGCTGGAGAGGATGTGGAGAAATAGGAACACTTTAATACTGTTGGTGGGACTGTAAACTAGTTCAACCATTGTGGAAGTCAGTGTGGCGATTCCTCAGGGATCTAGAACTAGAAATACCATTTGACCCAGCCATCCCATTACTGGGTATATACCCAAAGGACTATAAATCATGCTGCTATAAAGACACATGCACACGTGTGTTTATTGCGGCATTATTCACAATAGCAAAGACTTGGAACCAACCCAGATGTCCAACAATGATAGACTGGATTAAGAAAATGTGGCACATATACACCATGGAATACTATGCAGCCATAAAAAATGATGAGTTCATGTCCTTTGTAGGGACGTGGATGAAATTGGAAATCATCATTCTCAGTAAACTATCGCAAGAACAAAAAACCAAACACCGCATATTCTCACTCATAGGTGGGAATTGAACAATGAGATCACATGGACACAGGAAGGGGAACATCACACTCTGGGGACTGTTGTGGGGTGGGGGGAGAGGGGAGGGATAGCATTGGGAGATATACGTAATGCTAGATGACAAGTTAGTGGGTGCAGCGCACCAGCATGGCACATGTATACATATGTAACTAACCTGCACAATGTGCACATGTACCCTAAAACTTAAAGTATAATAATAAAAAAAAAGAAAAAAAAAGTGGGAGTCGAACAATGAGAACACATGGAAACAGGGAAGGGAACATCACACTCTAGGGCCTGTTGAGGGGGTGGGGGCTAGGAGAGGGATAGCATTAGGAGAAGTACCTAATGTATATGACAGGCTGATGGGTGCAGCAAACCACCATAGCACGTGTATACCTATGTAACAAACCTGCATGTTCTGCACAGGTACCCCAGAACTTAAAGTATAACAATAATAATAAAAAAATAAATTCCAATGCAGAATTTCATATTTGGATAAAGTAAGATTCATACATGAAGTAGAAATAAGATTCTTTCCAGACAAGCAAAAGCTGAGGGAATTTGTTACTACCAGACCTGTCTTAATAGAGCTACTGAAGGAAGCATTAAATATGGAAAGACCATTAGCAGCCACTACAAAAATATACTTAAGTATACAGAGCAGTGACACTACAAAACAACCAAATAAACAAGTCTGTATAATAACCAGCTAACAGCATGATGACAAGATCAAATCCACACATATCAATACTAACCTTGAATGGAAATGGGCTAAATGCCCAAATTAAAAGGCAAACAGTGGCAAGCTGGATAAAGAATTAAGACCCACTGGTATGCTGTCTTCAAGAGACCCATCTCAGGTGCAATGACACCCATAAGCTCAAAGTAAAGGAATTGAGAAAAATCTACCAAGCAAATGGAAAAAATGGAAAAATCTACCAAGCAGATGGAAATTGGGATTGCAATTTCAATTGCAAACTAAGAAATTTGCTAAACACCATATAATGATGTGAAAAGTGAATAACCTGCTTCTGAATGACTTTTAGATAAATCATGAAATTAAGGCAGAAATCAAGAAGTTCTTTGAAACTAATGAGAACAAAGATACAACATACCAGAATCTTTGGGACACATCTAAGGCAGTATTAAGAGGGAAACTGATAGCAATAAATGTTAGAAATACCTCAATAGAACTACCTAACACCACAACTAGATGAACTGGAGAACCAAAAGAAAATCAACCCCAAAACTAGCAGAAGACAAGATATAAGCAAAATCAGAGTTGAAGTGAGGGAGATTAAGACACCAAAAAAAAAATTCAAAAGATAAATCCAGGAGTGATTTTTTGAAAAAATTAATAAAACAGATTGACTGCTAGCTAGACTAATAAAGATGAAAAACCAGTAGATGCAAATAAGCACCATTAGAAACAACAAAGGGAATATTACCACTGGCCCCAGAGAAATATAAATAACCATCAGATAATATTATGAATACTTCTATGCACATAAACTAGAAAATCTAGAAGAAATGGATAAGTTTTTGGATGTATACACCCTCTCAACACTGAATAAGAACAAAATTGAATCCTTAAGCAGATCAATAACAACTTTCAAAATGGAATCAGTAATAAATAGCTTACCAACCTTACCAACCAAAAAAAATTCCTGGACCAGACAGATTTACAAGCCAAATTCTAACAGGTGTACAAAGAAGAGCTGGTACCATTCTTACTAATACTATTTCAAAAAATAGAAGAGGAAAGACTCCTCCTTAACTCATTCTATGAGGCCAGCATTATCTTTATACCAAAACCTGGCAGAGATACAACAAAAAAAGAAAATTTTAGACCAATATCCCTGATGAACATCAGTGCAAAAATCCTCAATAAAATACTGGCAAACTGCATCCAGCAGCACATCAAGAATCTTATCCACCACAGTCAAGTAGGCTTTACCCCTGGGAAACAAAGCTGGTTTAATATAAGCAAATCAATAAAGTGACTCATCACATAAACAGAACTAAAGACAAAAGAACACATGATCATCTCAATAGATGCAGAAAAGGCTTTTGATAGAATTCAGCAACGCTTCATGTTAAAAACTCAATAAACTAAGTATTGAAGGAACATACCTCAAAATAATAAGAACCATCTGTGACAAATCCACAGCCTACATTATACTGAGTTGGCAAAAGCTGGAGGAATTCCCCTTGAAAACTGGCACAAGACAAGGATACCTTCTCTCACCACTGGTATTCAACATAATATTGAAAGTGTTGGCCAGAGCAATAAGGAAAGAGAAAGAAATAAAGGGCATCCAAATAGGAAATCAAACTATTCTGTTTGCAGACAACATAATACTATATCTGGAAAACACTATAGTCTCAGCCCAGAAACTCTTTTATCTGAAAAACAACTTCAGCAAAGTCTCAGGATACAAAATCAATGTGCAAAAATAACTAGCATTCCTATACACCAACAAGAGTTGAGGCGAGAGCCAAATCAGGAATGCAATTCCAATCACAACTGCTACAAAAAGCATAAAATACCTAGAAATACAGCTAACCAGGGAGGTGAGAGATCTCTACAATAAAAATTACAAAATGCTGCTCAAAGAAACCATAGATGACACAAACAAATGGAAAAATATGTTCATGGATAGAAAGAATCAATAGCATTAAAATGTCCATACAGCCCAAAGTGATTTACAGATTCAATGCTATTCTTATTAAACTAGCAATAATACTCTTCAAAGAACTAGAAAAACTATTTTAAAGTTCATATGGAACTAAAAAAGTCTCAATAATCAAGCCAGTCCTAAGCAAAAAGAACAAAACTAGAGGCATTATGCCACCCAACTTCAAACTATACTACAGAACTACAGTACCAAAACAGCATGGTATTAGTACAAAAACAGACACATAGACCAACAGAACAGATAGAGAGCCAAGATAAAAGGCCACATACCTACAAACTATCTGATCTTTGACAAGCCTGACAAAAACAAACAATGGCAAAAGAACACCCTATTTAATAAGTGGTGCTGGGATAACTAACTAGCCATGTGCAAAGGATTGAAACCGAAACCTTTCCTTACACCATATACAAAAATCAATCCAAGATTGATTAAGGACTTAAATGGAAAACCCAAAACTATAAAAAATCTGAAGACAACCTAGGTAATATTATTCTGGACACAGGAATGGAGCAAAACTTCATGACAAAGACATCAAAAGCAATTGCAACAAAAGTAAAAATTGACAGATGGGATGTATTTAAACTAAATAGCTTCTACACAGAAAAACTATTGACAGAGTAAACAGACAACCTACAGAATGGGAGAAAATTTTTGCAAATTATGCATTTGACAAAGGTTTGATATCTAAAAGAAATGTAAACAAATTTCAAGCAAAAAACAAACAACCCCATTAAAACGTGGGCAAAGGACATGAACAGATAATTTTCTAAAGAAGACATACATGTAGCCAACAAGCATATGAAGAAAAAAGCTAAATACTACTGATCATTGGATAAATGCAGATGAAAACCACAATGAGATACCATCTCGCACTAGTCAGAATAGTTATTATTAAAAACGACAGGTGCTGGAGAGGATGTGGAGAAATAGGAACACTTTTACACTGCTGGTGGGACTGTAAACTAGTTCAACCATTGTGGAAATCAGTGTGGCGATTCCTCAGGGATCTAGAACTAGAAATACCATTTGACCCAGCCATCCCATTACTGGGTATATACCCAAAGGACTATAAATCATGCTGCTATAAAGACACATGCACACGTATGTTTATTGCGGCACTACTCACAATAACAAAGACTTGGAACCAACCCAAATGTCCAACAATGATAGACTGGATGAAGAAAATGTGGCACATATACACCATGGAATACTATGCAGCCATAAAAAATGATGAGTTCATGTCCTTTGTAGGGACATGGATGAAATTGGAAATCATCATTCTCAGTAAACTATCGCAAGGACAAAAAACCAAACACCGCATGTTCTCACTCACAAGTGGGAATTGAACAATGAGAACACATGGACACAGGAAGGGGAACATCACACTCTGGGGACTGTTGTGGGGTCGGGGGAGGGGGGAGAGATAGCATTAGGAGATATACCTAATGCTAAATGACGAGTTAAAGGGTGCAGCACACCAGCATGGCACATGGATACATATGTAACTAACCTGCACATTGTGCACATGTACCCTAAAACTTAAAGTATAATAATAATAATAATAATAATAAAGGAAAACTCAAAATAACCTTAAAAAAAAAGTCAAAAATAACAGATGTTGGCTAGGTTATGGAGAAAAAGGAACACTTATACACTGTTGGTGGGCGTGTAAATTAGTTCAACTATATAGAAAACAGTATGGTGATTCCTCAAATATCTAAAAACAGAAATATCATTCAATACAGCAATCCCATTACTGGGCATATGTCCAGTGGAATATAAAGCATTATATCATAAAGACACATAAATACATGTGTTCATTGCAGCTCTATTTATAGTAGCAAAGACATGCAATCAACCTAAATGTCCATCAATGTTAGACTGGATTTTAAAAATGTGGTACATATACACCATGAAATAGTATGCTGCCATACAAAAGAACACCATCACATCCTTTACAGGAAGACAGATGGAGATGTAGGCCATTATCCTTAGCAAACTAAGGCAGGAACAGAAAACCAGATACTGCATGTTCTTACTTATAAAGGGGAGCTAAATGATGAGAACACATGGACACATAGAGGGGACCAACACATACTGGGGCCTACTGGAGGTTGGAAGGTGGGATGAGAGAGAGGAACAGGGAAAATAGTGGTGATGAAATAATCTGCACCACAAATCCTTATGACACAAGTTTACCTGTATAACATACCTGCACATTTACCCCAAACTTAAAATAAAAGTTAAAAATAATTAACTTTGAAATCAACTAAGCTTCAGAAACATTTACTGAAGATAGTTGTTGAGGATTTTGTTTATTTGATAACTTTACTCCTTTCTTATGCTAATTGGTCTATTTAGATTTTCTTCTGGTATAAATTTTTGTAGTTTATTCTTTTTCTACAAATTAAAAAAATCCAATTTTTGAGATTAATTTATATATTCACCTATAATTGTAAACTATCTTCCTCTAAATGACTATCTCCAAATATCAGTGTTTTCATAGTTCTGCTTTCTCCTTTTATTCTTACAATTTTTTATTTTATTATTTTTAAAAAACCAGCAAATTCATTAATTCTGCCTTTTTGCTAATTCATTAATCTCCCTTTATCTTTACTAATTCTAACTTATTCTTTTCTTTACTATTTCAATTTGACCCTTAAGTCATTTAGTTTGTGTAAAAACCAGGCACAGATCTACCACTTGAAAAGTTGTTAGGATGGATAGCTCCTATTCTTTGTGAAAGCTCCTATACTATGTTTAATCTCTACATTGGAAGAGTCCTAGACTTTGTGGGATTACTAGAAATTTTAGACACAGAATCCAGGAAGCATGGCACTTGGTGAAATTGTATTATTTGAGATGATCATAATATGGTCACCATGGTTAAAAAATGTAGAGATGTTTCAAACCAAGTAAGGCAGTGCCTCTCTGACAGGGTAAAACCTCAATCCATCCTGACTGCTGAGCTCACTGATTCAGAGTATGCCCCAGTGAGAGAAAGGCATACTCTCACCAGGCATCAAGTGTTAAATGGAATTCAGCTTAAAGATGCCTTGGGCCAAATTCCATTTAACACCTAGTCTTTACCTTTACTGATTGAACTGTAAATATCATCTCAGGTGCTCACTATAAAATCTCTTGTAATAAGTTTTTTCATTCATTATTTAGTAGTTATTATTTTCAATTATCCCTCAGTTTTTACTCATTTGGCTTTTTTTTTTTTTTTTTGGCAGAGTCAAAAACTAGTTCATTGAGAAAAGATTAACAAAATTCTGGCAAGATTTATTTTTAAGAAAAAGGGAGAAGAGAAAGAAGGAAACCAAAGAAGAACATTAATAAACTATTAGAATATATAAGACTACAGAGAATAAACATATAAAATATTTTACTATAAATAACTTTTTTGCAAATAAATTTCAAAACATAGAATAAAATATGTAAGTAGAAGACTTCTAGAAAAATTTACCTTAAAAAGCAGCTAAAAAAGAGATAACCTAGAGCATATTATAAATATTAAGTCAATTGAATCAATCATTAAACATCTTTACACAAGTAAATACCTGACCCAGATAGTTTTTTAAAATAACTCTAATATAATTTGATCATTACATGTATTTTTAAGACAAAAGAAAATGAGTGAATACTCTCAAAATTTTTGAGGATGATATAACCTTGATACCACAACTTAACAAGGGTATTAGAAGAAAGAAAAATCACAAACCAAATGAACTTATGAAAGTAAATGCATGCAGAGAGCTAATAGCTGGCAGGGAAAAGGAGCCCTGGTATAAAACGCAAAATTACTATTATATACTAATTTTCTAAAGCTGAAACCAATTCTCTGAGTGGATTTCTTGGCAAGAAAGTCTAAGTAGACTGGTGAAATTTCCACAGATTTCATTTGGTGGCATATATGTGCACAGAATTTTAGGGAAATGATATATGTCTTGACAAAACAGATATAAAGATTACATGCCCCGCCCCTACAAAGGTGCAGGATATCAGAAGATTCCTGAAAAGCCTGTACCCTTTATGGACAAAGAATGATGCAATTTAAATAAAAATTACTTCCAGATAAAAAGAAACTCGCTCTTAGGAAGACTATTGGTAGGAGAATCCAAATTGAACAAGATAGTAATTAGAATGCAGGAATAAGAAAGACTCAATATTCAGATAAATGAACGTAGAGAAAGATTCACAGAATGTGAACATCAGAATATGGGCATGGCCACAGAGAGGCCATTTTTTATTAAGTGTCATGGCAACAGCAAAGGGGGACCGCTAGTGATATTTCTACTACTACCTTTATAAGAACACCTCTTAAAGTATAGAAAATAACATTTAATTTAAACATGAGGAAAGGAAAAAGGTTGCAATTGCACCATATATGAATATATTGTAAGAGAAAAGAAAAATAATTTGACTAAACCAATAACAGTTAATTAAGGCATAATAGAAAAATAGAGCCATTGAGTATATGGAAATGCTAACATTAAAAAATTGGCTAAACAAGCTTTGAAAAAAATATTAAAAATGAAGTGAAAAATTTAAATTAGAAATAAAAAATGTCAAAATAATAATATTTTTGAATAATAGTGAGGGTAAATAATAGTAAGGGAACTGATGAAGCTCAAAAAAAAAACATAAATATAGATAGATTCATAGAGAGAGAATTTTAGAAATGAAGAGAAGACATGGCTGAGTATGGTGGCTCACCCATATAATCTCAGAACTTTGGGAGGCCAAGGCAGGAAGATTGCTTAAGCACAGGAGTTCACTGAAAAAAAAAAAAAAAACACATAATAAGAAACAATATAAATAAGAATAGAAATATTTTAAGTAACAATAATGAAAGGAAAGGGAGAAATATGAAAATAATCAAATAGAAATGGAGAGTAAAATAAAAAAAAAGATATGATCAGGCCAGGCGCGGTGGCTCAAGCCTGTAATCCCAGCACTTTGGGAGGCCAAGGTGGGCGGATCACGAGGTCAGGAGATCGAGACCATCCTGGCTAACACGCTGAAACCCCGTCTCTACTAAAAATACAAAAAATTAGCCGGGCGAGGTGGCAGGTGCCTGTAGTCCCAGCTACGCGGGAGGCTGAGGCAGGAGAATGGCGTGAACCCCAGGGGGCGGAGCCTGCAGTGAGCAGAGATCGCGCCACTGCACTCCAGCCTGGGTGAAAGAGCGAGACTCCGTCTCAAAAAAAAAAAAAAAAAAGATATGATCAATTAAGAAAACAAAGAAGGTCCAATGAATACATAATTGGAGGTCACAGTCAAGAAACCCAAAATAATGGAATAGAACAAATAGTAAGATATACAATTACACAAAATATTCCCCAAATTAAGAAGCATTTGAATATATATGTAGAATATGACCATTGTGTACCTGGAAAAATCAGTCTAGAATTGTCAAAACCAAAACATATTCTGGGGAAAATGACTGCATTTTAAATATAAAAAAACTATTAAAAACTATTGCATTGTAAATATAAAAAAATTAATATCTGTGGACATTATACAAAAATCATATAGTTCCAAAAAAGGTAAAGAAATTCATCTATCCCAGCAGTTCTTAACAAAACACAATTGAACCATATATTAAAGTTTCTTTTTTTTTTTTTGAAAGGGAGTTTCACTCTGTCGCCAGGCTGGAGTGCTGTGGCGCAGTCTCAGTTCACTGTAACTTCTGACTCCCTGGGTCAAGCGATTCTCCTGTCCCAGCCTCCTGAGTAGCTGGGGTTACAGGCACGCACCACCATGCCCAGCTAATTTTTGTATTTTTAGTAGAGATGGGGTTTCACCATGTTGGCCAGGATGGTCTCGATCTCCTGACCTTGTGATCTGCCTGCCTTGGCCTCCCAAAGTGCTGGGATTACAGGAATTAGCCACTGTGCCCAGCCATGTTTAAGTTTCTTAATGAAAAAAATAAGACAAGGGTTCCATATCCAGGCAGAATTACTTTTCTTCTGTAATAGTTATAGAAAAATATAAGCCTTCAAAGTATCAGGAAATTTTGTACTCATAAAGCTTTCCTGAAGAAATCATTCAAGAGAAAGTTTCATACAATCAAGAATTTTTTAGGAAAACTTCACACTAAAGTCTACTGTTGAGCATTTTCCTACTCAACTATACTACCAAAACTACATAAAAGGGGTAAAGGTCACAGAATTTTAGGGAAATTATATATGTCTTGACAAAGTACATATTTAAAAAAAAAACAACTGCAATACAAGCAAAGAATGCAAAGAGAATGTCTAATTCAAAATAAGTTTATTGATTGGCTTCTATTGTTAATTGTAAATAGATAATGTCATTTAAAATTAAATATTAATAGGCCAGGAACTGTGGCTCACACCTGTAATCCTAGCACTTTGGGAGGCCGAGGCAGGTAGATCACCTGAGGTCAGGACTTCCAGACCAGCTTGACCAACATGGAGAAAACCCACCTCTACTAAAAATACAAAAATTAGCCAGGCTTGTTGGCACATGCCTGTAATCCCAGCTACTTGGGAGGCTGAGGCAAGAGAATCGCTTGAACCCAAGCGGCAGAGGTTGCAGTGAGCTGAAATTGTGCCACTGCACTCCAGCCTGGGCAACAAGAGCGAAACTCCATCTGAAAAATAAATAAATGAATAAATAAAATTAAGTATTAATAAAAGAAGTAGGAGAGTAAAGAAGAAGTTATAATTAATTCCTCAATTGCCCACAGTAGGAAACAAATTAATAGTATCTTAAACCCAGGAAGCTAATCGCATCATTATGATGATAACTACTAGAATAAAAATACAAAAATTTCTGAATACCAAAAGATATAAAAAAAGATTATACATAAAAGATTTCATAACATAAAATAACATGACAGAAGTAAGAGCAAATGTATTTGTTGTATCAATACAAATTAACTCAAAGCAGCAATGGAAAAAAATTTAAGCTAAACATAAAAGCAAACTATGCATATACAATATTTTTCTAAAACTAAAATGAATAAATTAAAAATTAATGAATGAGTATCCCTCATGAACACGGATGCAACATTCCTCAACAAAATATTAGTAAATCAAGATCAATAGCACATGAAAAAGATCATACAACGTGATCAAGTGATATTTATCTCTGAGATGCAAAGATGCTTAAACATTTGCAAAAAATAAGCATTACACACCATGCTAAAAAAAGAAGGATAATAATCATATAGGCACTTCAATATGTACTGAAAAAGCAAGTGACAAAATGTAACACTATTTCATGAATAAAACTCTCAACAAATTAGGTGTAGAAGGAAGCACCTCAACATAATAAAGGTTATGCATGACAAACCCACAGTTAACATCATACTCAAAGATGAAGAGTTGAAACTTTTCCTCTAAGATCAGGAGCAAGATAAGAATGCCCACTCTTACCACTTCTATTCAACACGGTAAATATCCCTTACATTGATTTGAATCTCAAATGGAAAATGAAATTCTTCTTAAGTCTGAGCTTCATAAGATGAAGGTAAGGGCCACTTTGTTATTTTCAAATATAGCAATTAAGTTGTCTAGACAGACAAAAAGATTCTGGAAATCAAGATCCACTGAAAACTTGGTACTAATCACCTTAAAAATGTACACTATAATACTTTAGAATTTCACAGGTGGAAAAATGTGAAGTGTGTTTATACTATTTGCCATAAGCCAATTTTATCTACATCAAGCCATATGGTTTGGGAAACTGGGAGTTTTCAGTAGAATTCAGAGTGCAATTTAACAGTGCTGTCTGAAAACAGTTTATACAGAGTTTATAAGCCATTCTAAAACACATCAGGGATGTTTTTCTTTTCTCTCCCTTTTTTAAAAAATAATATACACTACCATACTGATATTTTAAAACTCTATGCACTGTGTTTTTGTAATTTTCTGAAAATTGCTATGTTGCTACACTGATCTACGTAAAATCTTGTAAGGCATAGACTGCATGATTGGTAATTTCTCTTCTTATGTATAAAATTAGAAGCACTTAATGTAATATATACTTAATTATTTCAAAATATTAATTGTAATTTTACAGTTTCTAAAGTATTGCTTAATTATACCTATCAAAATAAATATTGTTGTCAAATCATTCAGAGAAATTTATAAAGAAATCTGATAAAATTACATTTCAACTAATTTACAGATTATATTGGGCAATTCTGTTTTTGTTATATCTACAGAACAACTTGATATGAGAGCCAGAAAGTTTTGTTTTATGACTTTTCTTAGAGTATTAACTATATCACATGCACTATAAAATATCAAAGGCAATGTTACTTAGAACATTATTTTAAGATTTCAAGTTTGACTTTAATGTACTCCTTAGGCTTTCCGTTTTATTTAAGGTTTTGTATTAGCTCAAGTAAAGCAATTAGATTAACAAATATATTGAAATAAAACGAATACACTCATACAAAATTATTAATTCAAAAATCTTTTAAAATATTGCAAAATATCCCAAATAATAAAGGGAAATGTGACTTGCCTGCAAATTCCTTCTGGAAATATAAAACTTTATTCCTCATATCTACTGTAGAATTCCTTAAGCTGACAGTGAAACAGCAGGAGAAAAGTCAAATTTACACCAAATTGATTGGTTTGGAAACAATCACTCCTGTAATTAGGATAGGTCAGGAAAAGTTTCTTTATAAATAATTTATCAGAAACTACTCTATAAAAACCTAGGAAAATGTCAAGCCAGGTGCAATCTTTTTAAACTATCCCAGTATAAATCAATTAAGGTGCTTTATTTTGACATCTAGTGTCAGTATTTACCAAACGTAGATAGACAAGTCCATCCCTGCAGCATGCATTTGCAAATAACTTTACTCATTAATGTTTAATTAAGACAGAGGAAAACTGTCCTTGATATTTTGCTGCAATTAGTGCTCTCTATACCCCACTGACTTCTCATGATGAATTACTTTTCAAATGAAAAGTGAAGTGATTAAAACTGGAGTCACTCCATCTAGTATGCATCGCCCATACCTCATTTTAAAGAGAAAACCAAATAGAGCCACACACAGTGAAAAGGCAAGTGAAATTATTTGCTATTTTCGATGTCAACTGTGAAGCTACTTTCTGGTCATGACTATGAAGTGATATAACATGTAAATCCCAAAATATTACTATTAAATCATAAAGTCACAAAACACCAGAGCTTTAGGGGATTTAACCTCAATTTAAGACACTCCACAAACACTAAGTGAATTATGAAGGTCACATAATTTTCTGCATTGTATTCTAATAATTTCACTTTTGTTTTAATATTTTACTGTTTTAAAGAACTTCATAATCCATTTTACCCAATGTCTTCATTTTGCCAAACAGCCAAAAAAAAAAACACTGCATAACAACAACAAAAACCTGAAATCTGAGAGATCAGTTGACTTATGCAATGTTACACAAGAAACAAGTGATAGATCTGAAAATAAAATGTAGTTGTTCCTATGCCCATATCCTTCCTCCTACTCTCTGCCCAAGTTTGTCTTCATCTTAGTCTGGAAGAGCAAACATAGTATGGGAAATATCTATGAACTCTCTGATCATATTACTCAGATATGATCCAGGTTGGAACATTCTTGAAATAGCATTTTGTTACCCATATGTTTTCTGTGATATTTCATACTAACAAATCAATTAAGTTGTTATTAGTAATAGCAGATAACTATTTTGTTTATTTTAATATACTTGTTTTTAATTATTTTCCCAATTCTAGAATTTCTCCTCAGATATAACTAGTAGCCTGACAACTAGATTCACCAACAGGTGGGTTATGCTTGTATGATACAGTGAATTATTTGTCAACATAAAAGAATTCTGAAATATCACATATAATTCCCTATCTAAATTCCTTATAATTTACATTGGAAGATCTGGCCAACATGTGCTTGCATGATCACATGAATACAATCTCTCAGAGCTGAGTAGCACTGGGTCACTTTGAATAGTGCATGTACTCTTTGGTTCTCCACAATCCTCACCACTCCTTATTACTTCCCAACATCTGGGCTTTATGTCTGTGACCATTTAAGTTCATGTTTGTACTATTGCTTTTTAAATACTTGTTTCCCTCACCAATTTATCTACCTGCCTAGTCCCTGGAAGCTTATGCATTTTCAACTCCTGACATAATGGCTGTAGGGGCAAAACCACTAAATGAAACAAGTCAATAAATTTACACACACACACACACACACACACACACAGAGAGAGAGAGAGAGAGCAAGATTTTGAAATTATATGGCATGAGCTTATTTACAACTGGATTAAAGAATTCTTTTGTTTATAAATTGTTTACATATTGAATGGCCATTAAAATAATCTCTACAATATGTAAGCTGAATTTAAATATAATATTTGTTCTTTAAAATCATGAAACTAGTGGGTGAGCATGCATTGCCTTTGCTCAAAATTGCAGGAAAAGTCTAGGATCTTAAACTGGAAAGGTTATAAATTAATAACTTTCAGTCATTAGTTCTCAAAGGTATATTTGCATGGGTTACATTAAGGTCATGGGCTAGGAAATATCAGTGGTAGGGGTATGGTATGGAGAGTGAGTGGAGTTATCTGAAGAAACCAGATGCATTTTCAGAGAAAGATGCAGGTCAGGTGTAAGTCAGTCTGGCTGGAGTAGAGACCTGGTTATGTTGAGGTTAGAAAAGCCATTCAAGTAGATACTGGAGAAGCCTAGCATCCAGAATTTTAACTAAATTGCTTACTTTTCTGAAACATAAGCTTTTGTATTATGGTTACACAAAATAAATGAGATTACAGTATATCTTCAAATTGTATCTTATTCTCACAAAACATAGTATTCTGTTTGGAAAATGGTTACCAATACCATCTTCACATGTGACATTTCCTGCGGTCTTTCATCAACGGGGAAGAAAACACTTAAATCCTGACATTGGCTAGGGATAGGTTTAAACTCTAACATGATCTCAAATGATCAAGATGTAATAAACCTATGGCAAGTTGAGAAAACAGGCACTGAGAAAATATGATCAGACCCTTAATAGGGGCCTCACTAATTGTTATCATAAGGGTGCCACTTATGATAACAATTCAAAGACCTTGAGCTATCAAGCAGGTTTATTGATGGAGAACTCTTATCAGAGCCCCTGCTGTTAGTTCTGACAGATTTACCACACGTGGCTGCACATGGCTACACCTGTACCCACTCGAGTGTGTAAGAAGTGTCTAGTGCTGAGCCACTGAGAATTCACCTCAGTAACATTATAATTGCAATGCTACCTCAAACCAAATAAGGCAAGCCTGTTAGGAAAATTATCCACATTATTACTGTTGCTTTCTTCAATGCAAAGAATCATGTTATTTGAAGATATATACATCTGATGCTCTCTCATTACAAAAGAAAATGTTGAGAATGCTCTTTGGGTTGGTGAAATCCATCATAGACAGGATTTTTCCTTTGCACATAAAGAGGATACACACTTAGATTATATCAAAGATTGAATAATATCCAATATAGGGAATATTTGTATACATTTTCTACATACCTGAGAAATCAAAACAAAATGTTTAGGGAAGGAAGTCAGGGCTTGAAAACAAGCAATACTCTAACAGCTAATAGCCAGAATCTTGATAATATAACAAAAATATTGCAAAGGAGTCTCAGCTAAATTTAGGACACAAAATTTTAGAATTGTGTCATGTAATCCCTCTTTTAGAAGTTAGATTATTAGTACATTGGGAAAATAACATTTTAGGACTTTAACATCTTTATTCAATTCATTATTGAAAGAAAGAATGGTGTGCTTATTAAAAACTAAACAATACAAAAAAATGGACTCAAATTTAAAAGATCCAAATTTGAATCGAGTTATTCAATATATTAGCTAGACATTTCATATTTCTGTATATAAATTAGCATAGTGTATGACATTAGTATATATTCTCAAAAAACAGTGTTATATGTAATGCATATTATGCACAATTACATAAAAATGTAAAATTTATAATGTGCCCATTTAAATTTTTAAATATGGTAGGTTTATGTTTGTATATATATATACACACACACAACTGGATGGTAAACAATAATTTTTCCCCTTCATTTGATTCTAGAAAATGAACTAATTTCAAAAATATATACACATACACACACACACACACACACACACACATATAAAGCCACTATATAGAGTGATTTTATATAGATATATACAATTGATTATCCATAATACATGATATCTATACAAAATATATACTGTCTGTATAAAATCACAAAATGAGTTGTGTAAGTTATCCACAATCTGAGGAATTCTGAAAGGAATTATGATTATGCTTCAAGATAAGATACGTATACTTCTTAAAATTAAATCCATGAAGCCAATAATTAGTATGGAAGAAACAGAAGAGAATCACTAGGAAGTAGAAATAAAATCTTAAACATTGTTTTGGAAACTATCCAGAGAGTTGGTTATAGCCCAGCATTACCTACGGATTCTCTGGACAAAATATTCTGTAAATTCTTTGCACAAAATAACCATTCAAATAGAGCTTCATAGTGGATTCTTTATTTTCTACATTACTTAGAACTACAACTAAATGTTAAAACATATTGCTAAGATTCAGAGGAGTATGGCCTTGCTGTACTTTAGAAGGCTAGCTGAACATGGAGCCCAGACTCCATTCCAAAATCCATGACTCCAGATCGTTTTCTGTTGTTGTTGTTGTTGTTGTTGTTGTTGTTGTTTGCTTCAGCATAGCCTATTGACTTTTGGTTCTTTGTGTTTCTTTTTCCTTGAATGTGCATTCTACGGCAAATATTATGGCAGCCTTTTGCAATCAAGCTCAAATTCAAAATTGCCTTGTGTTAGAGATATATTTGGGTACTTCTACCCTCAAAATCTTACAAATTAATTCTTCTTTGCATTTAGGGCAGAGCTCTGATGCTCCAGCTTCACACCTCTAATACTATTGGAATACTTGCCCTTGCTGGCCTTATATAGTGTTATCCCTTGCATGCAAACAAAAATTTCTGGCCCCACATCCCCTGGATAAAACTGCAAGGTGCCATGTGAGCAACAGTTCGATTTCAAATCAATACCTGCAATTATGACAATCTGCACTTGCTCCTTTTGATTTGGGGATCATAAGTAAAGTCACTTCTTGGTATTTCTAGCCACAAAATTTTAATGCACACTTCTCTTTTATCAAGAGTGACAATGGCCTTTCATTTACCATCAGTTTCAGCTTAGAAGGGTCACTTAAAAATGAGTTTTCCATGTAGCACATTACCATATTGTATTGTTTCATTGGTCTAAAATGTATCCTCCAACTTAAGTAAAATCTCATCAAGATACATTGCACAGGGAGAAAATAAACAAAAGGAATAGAAATATTATTTTTGCTACATAAAATTTGAAATACATTGAGAAAATCTTGGACTTACCTTGATGTAAGCTTGTGCTTCTACTAGAAGAAATGGGGATGACTACATGAGGACATATCTTTCAGACATAACTAATCAATATTTGAATTACCCACTGAACTTCACCCCCATGGAATTGCTTTGTCTCAGTTCAACTATTTGGCATGACATAATAGGAATGTATTATAAACCAATACAAAAACCAGTCCTACAAATTTGTCATTTTTTTTCTCTTGGAATGTTGAGAATATTAAAACTGTAGGTGATATAGTTTCTCTTTTCATGGTGGCTGATAAAAAGCTTTGAGCAAAAATAATGAGCAATTTTTAGCGTATTGAAGGAGATTATTATGGTTTATATTTTACCTTTATTCTTGGTTTCATTTTAATATTGCCGTTTTTCTCTTTTTACTAAACCTACTTTTAATTTATTTTAACTTGTTGTATTTTATGTGTCTTCATAATTAGTAATAAACCTTTTCTAAAATAGGGCAGAATATAAACTAATAGACGATTCCATGTATTTCATGTCAGACAGATCCTTTCATGTTCTGTCTCCAACTTCTCTTGGTAGGCTTGCCTCCTGCCATCTTTTCTCATGCATTCTTTTTCTGTACACTGTGATTTTCTTATAGTTCCCTGGACACACTGTCTGATACTGCTGAACCTTGTCTTATAATACCTTTCCAATATTATTTCCCAGTAAAGAACATGCTTAGGATTGAACTCAAAAGTTACCCTTTGGTGATTCGTGGAATGAATTAATGAAAGTATGCAGCTGGAACAGCATCTGTGAAAATGAGAGGTACATTCATTTACTTTGCCTTTTCTTTGATTTATCTTACTTTAATTCAGTAATTTATAAAATATTAATTTCTCAATATACATAATAGAATGGTTATCTTTCAAAGAAACCTAACTTTAAAAAATATCGTATTAGAAGACAAAAGTCTAAGAGATTGTATAAGTTCAGAGATGTATGTACTCTCCACTGTACTACAAAGTTATTTTCATTACCATTATGCACTTTTAATAAATCCTTATTTTCTGATGTGTTTTTAATGATTTTAACAGAGTAAACTCACTTTAAAAGGCAGTTTGAATTTTTCAATTACTGTGGAATATTGTTTTACCAAATACTAACTGAAGTTAGGCAATCATTTTCTAGGCAGAGATTTGTAGTGTGGATGGGTTGACTGCGTTGATTCACTAAAATAGGATTTGGGTAACCAATTCAAACAAGAGTAACCTTTCCAGGATGACTCAAGGGAAAAGCAATGTGGGATAAATTCATCTCTGAATTTTTCATGTTTTTGCACACATGACTGATGTACATATTATCCTGAAGCTCATGTCTGCTTTTTACTGAAATATTTGTTCTGCTTTACTTCGGGCTAGAAGAAAACTGGAACCCAAGTGCTCCATTGAGGGGAAGGCATTTCCCATGTAAGTGCCAACTTGCTCATGTGATTTTTTTCACTGTATTTGTCTATTTATGGTAGGGATCACAAGTAGAAGGTATTGGCCCTTTGAAGAATGAACACTGCTGTCACCCTCCATTTCCTATAAGATGTCACAGCTGTGACAAGGAAGGGTTTATAATGGCACAGTTCGGTGCCTTCATAATTTATTCTTTCTGATTTTATGCTCTTTTAGTCTCCTGCTCAACCATCCACTAACAAGCAGTGATATTAGCCAATAAATCAAAGACATCTGCTTGTCACCACCAGATGCTTGGCCACATCGCCACCGATTATGAGACATACAAAAGGACAATTTCATGTAGAGAGCTCTGCAGAGTTGTTCCACTGATATTCTGTTTGATAGAAAACTAGTTTGAGGTGAATGTAGTAAAATTCAATAACTTTTATGCCTTGCAGCAATGAAGAACTAAGTTGAAATGAAACTGGAAAGTAAATTAGGATCTCACCTTTATGATTGTTCCTTTTATGATTCCAAATCTCTTCCTTTGTCACTTTGATACAGGTTAAAGAAGAAATATCTTAATATACTCTGTTTATTTTGCTAGGTTTAAGAATTTTTCTTTCTTTTCTAAAAGCACCAAATAAGACATTTATATCCACCTATTAAATATACTTATTAAAACGTATTATTTCTAAACAAATACAATAATATTTGTTTGAATTGTAGTCAATGTACAACAACAATATGATTTTATTTTTTCATTAATATTAAGACCTGCTGTAAGCTAATTAAAACCATCTATTAGGTATTAATTGCTTATATTTTCTTTTTTTTCATTATTGAAATTACTGGTCCACCATAATGTACATATACCTTTCTCTGTGGTATAAACAAGAACAATAACAGCAGACTAAATGTATAGAGTTCACATAACTATGCCCAATATTTTAGGAAATCCTCCTTAAAAGAATACATTAAGTTTATATTTTTCCTTTAAATTAAATAAAGTAGAAAAGCAATGTCCGACTGGTTTCATTTTAATAAAGAAGTTTCTAAGTTTTTCTCAACGGAGAAGTTAACCATATTTATACATTGAATATATAACTAGATTGTTGACTTAGCATTTTTGCTATATTGACAATTTATTATAGAACAAACAAGTTGTAAATTAAATTTTAATATGAGCTACAAAAAGGCATATGTAATGATGCTTTATTTTTAATTAATATGGCTATGTTTATCTTGTGACTATAGAAGCTGCCCTTTCTTTTTTCACATCTTCCTTTGACTTTCTTGGGGCCCTAAAAATGCCATTCAGAAAATAAGTGAGTTATTCCACAGTGCCTCAGTTTTAGTTACTAACTCTTGAAGGCTAGAAAAACCATGTCTGTTATTTTGTTTCCTTCCATTTCTTCATCTTTTTAATTTTACAGACATTTCTAGATTACCCTTTTCAAACATTAATTCATTTAAGCCTCCTCAGAATAACAGCTTGAACTTTCCAAAGTGGTAAATATAAGAACTTTTTAAAGTAAAATGCTTTTTGTATATATTCAAATAATAAACTTGCATTTTACAGTTCCATTCAACCTAGATAGAGATGCTATATCACTGTGGTTGCTTTGTTGTTGCTGTTGTTTTGCTGTGATTTATACTATGACTTTTACATTGATATTTCATGAGAGTTTCATTTCCCTTCAGCCTAATAGGAATCCAAAGGTGCCATCTATTTAGAAAGCTTTAGAGAGAGAAGATAATTCACTTAGAAATGTGTGCTTGAAGTTCTTTTTTATTTCTCTGAGCTACAGAATTATTAATTAAGTATTTAAGTACCACTTTTTTTTTTTTTTTTTTTGAGATGGAGTCTCGCTCTGTCCCCCAGGCTGGAATGCAGTGACATGATCTCAGCTAACTGCAACTTGTGCCTCCTGGGTTCAAGGGATTCTGCTGCCTCAGCCTTCCGAGGAGCTGGGACTACAGGTGTGTGCCACCACGCCCGGCTAATTCTGTATTTTTAGTAGAGATGGGGTTTCACCATGATGGCCAGGCTGGTCTCGAACCCCTCACCTCAGATGATCCACCTGCCTTGGCCTCCCAAATTGCTGGGATTACAGGCATGAGCCACCACGCCACCCTTAAGAACCACTTTCTAGTCTGCAAAGTTTTTATAACTTGTTTTGTGTCTCACATTCTTATGAAGCATAAGAATAAATGTCCAGTTATATTAAGCACAAGAAACCAAGGAAGCACTCTAAAAGTATACTGAATAACAAAGTAGAAAAAATAGAAACCTTAGGAATATTAAGAAAGTGATAAATTACAGCACAATTTGGCTTATGCACAACCGCCATAATAGAATAGGGATTCCTGCTCTCATCTCAAGAAGTGTGTCGGCATGTATTGCCCTGCAGTAAAAAGATAAGAAATGACTTAAAATTAAAAGAACTACAAAAACACAGAAAATGAGAAGATGATTAAGGATGTGTGCAGTATTTACCTTTGATGAGACATTATTAACACTATTTTTTTCCAACTAAGGCAAGTGATGAGTTTAAGTGGATTTGATGGAGTTACTCAAAATCAATGAAAGCCAGTTAAGTGTTTTTGTTTTGTTTTGGTGTTTGGTTTTTGTTTGTTTGTTTGTTTCCCCACCAATATTGAGAATTTGGGAAACCCAGAAGAATTTAGAATGAATGCAGCATAAAGCTAGCAATATCAGTTCAAATTATTGGTATCATCTCTCCATTATTTTATTCCTTGCCTCAATAACATGCTTTGTCTGTAGGTTCTATGATACTGGGTTGGGTGAAAAGTATTGGCCACCTGTTATCTTGAATGTAAACTCAGAGATAACATTTATGAAGCTGTCTCGCTCTAATTACTTGTGTTGAATAAGAGTCCTGATTTACTCTGTATCTTTTGTGAAGCATCTATAGGTATCATTGCTATTTCATCTTTCATCCCCAGGGATGTGTGTGAAACCTGCACTGAAAGCACTGAGAGGACCATAATATATCAAGATAGAAGAGGTCTGATTCTTCCCATTGGCAGGAGAGACCACTGTCCTAGGCCCAAGTATAGGTTGTCAACCCAAGAGATGATTTTCTAGTTTCAAACATATCTAACAGAGGTAAAATTCCTTTACAAGCTGGGATAGGAGAGAGTTACAAACGTCTCTTACAAACAACAAGGGAACAATTCTTTTGCATCACCTTCCATGTCTTTTAAAATCTTACTAATCCACCATTCCAGGAATGCTTGTGACCATGACTCTACGAATCATGGATTCCATCTTGATTTTCTCCTAATGGCTTTACCCAAGTAACAATCTATTGACATGTAATTTTACTGATAGCTCAGCAGCACAAACGCACCTTCCTCCGAATTCTGTGCCTTTCATACTCTGACTCTAAAGCAAAACTCCATAACAATTTTCTTCTCTTTCTCACTCCCATAATCACTCCTTCTGAATCTCTGTCATTCTTCTTGCCTGCACAATGTATCTGTCATTGATCATACATTGTGTGTAGCATTCTGATTAGAGGTGTGATCTGGACCAAATTTTCTAACCTCTATTTTCTTTATCTATAAAATGAGACTAATAATAACATATACTTCAAATGCTGAGATGGGGATTAAATGAACTAATACTAAACTTTACTACATGTAAAGGGCTAAACCAGAGCTAGATGCATAGAAACACACTGCTGAATAAGTATGGGTTGGTGTTATTATGGTGGCCACATTTTTTTTCTAGAGCATATTATTTTTGTGAGTATGTATTAAGAGGGGTAATCATGTTACTTATCTATTAATTTAAATTAGAAAGTATAAGAGTAAATTGTACTATTTAACAGTTGATTTATGTCAGTACAAGAGTCTCTGATTTTTATGTATCAGTAAACCAATAGTATAAACCACACACTAAACAAATTTCTAGGTTCATGCAAGCTTTATTGAATAGCTTCATTGCATGCAGTATCATTTAGAATACTGTTATGATTCAATTGCAAATGCACCAATAATTATGTTGAAAGATTTTAGGCTACACAACTTATCATGGGATAGAATCTAGCAAATATGATAAATGTAACTGACATATAATTTGATTAGCATAATATATTTAAGTTACAAAATTTAAACTTGTTTAATAAGAGAAAACATGAAACCATTATTAGAAAAAATAAAACTGAGAATATTGGAACTGTTCAATAAATTATTTCTGTGCTGGGCTTAGTCCTCGAACTCTATAACCATGAAAAATACCACGGCCTCTCTGGGCCAGGTATTTATAGACTGTTTTAATTAGTATTTTTCTATTCCACTAGAGTATATGCTATTTGAGAGTAAGTATAGAGTCATTCACTTATTTAATCATTCATTCATCACCAATAGATCACTAGCATCTAAATGAGTGCTCAATAATGTAGTATATTTTTGTAGGAAATGAATGATGAATGACCTTCATTTTTCATCTTTAGGTAGGTCCAGAGTATATAACCTCTCAGCTCCAGAATTTTAAAATATTATGACAGTATAATTAAAATATATCACAATTGATGCACATATAAGAAAAACAGAAATTCTTCTCTGCTCTTGCTTCTTTCTCTATAACCATACTTTTCAATTTTTTTGAGCTCTATGTGAGTTTGACCACTCTATGGAGACAAATAGAGGGCAGAACTAAGTTCAATACTTGGATTAATACAATTTTCAACTCTAGAGCAAAATATATGATCATCATTGTTGCCATTTATATATTCAGTCATGTACTGTGGGCCAAAATCATTCCAGGTGGTTTACTTATCTCATTAATCATCACAACGACCTTCTAATGCTGAGATAGGAACTTCCAAATTAAAAATACGGGTACAGGATGAGAGATAACTTGTGTAAGATTTCACACTGCTGGTGACAATCAGGATTCTAAACTAAATCGCTTTGAAAGATCATGCTCATTTTACTTAACAATCTCTGATACTGATCATGAATGAGTTCACAATAATAAAGCCTTGCTTTGTATTTATAGTACAGATCTTCATGCTTCTCTGCACATAAATATCGATGTCACCATTTTAAAATACAAACTCAGAGAGAACCTGAGACACATTTGTAAACATGTTTTGCGTGCTAACATGTATGAAGGGGAAATTTATTCTTAAAAAATAGTAGAAAATGATAACAAATAGGAGAAATAGAAGGAATTATATTGAATTAAATAAAATGAATTGAATTGAATTGAAATGATGAATATGAATTAAAAATCATATACACTGACCTATTTTTGTAAATACCTTCATCTGCTTCTGAATTTAATGAAATATTTAACATTTCAGTACATAGTGAATTAAGTAAAAATTATACACATATATATATTTTTTTAACCAAAGCATTTAGGTCTTATTTTTCAACATATGATGTTTTATTTAAAGAGTGACCCTATTCCGTTGACTCCCTTTTCCTGTCCAATCTTACATTAGCTTTTTGAGCATGTTCAAGAATGTATGTTTCACTCCTTACCAAGTCCTGATCATTTGTGTCGTTCTCTGAAGATTCAACCTGGAGAGTCTAATCTCTAGTTGGCTTAGGTTTAAAAACAGAAAGTAGAAGCAGAAATGGCTTTTAATAGAATCATAACCCCCATTCAGCTCCCTTTTTAAAACGAAGACTTGGATGACATGCCTAAAATCTAAGTCAGTTCACAGCATGACCCATGTCTCTGATTTCCTATTCTAGGATTCTTTGAACCACACCTCACTTAGAAGATTCTGGAAGTTTCTTCAGGTGGAGTAACAGACAACTATTCAAGTCCTGGAAGATCACTGGAGCTGTTCTGAACATCCTCAGTAGTATTAAAGTACATATGGATTCATTTTAATATCCAGGGTATTTACATTTCTATTATTAAAACAATATAGGTATAATTTTCCACAATAATATGTTCTTAATAACCAATTTACATCTGCATTTAGTTTAACTGTAAAAATAACTTTACCAACTTATTTGGTATTTTTTGTGTATGTAATTTCTAATCTGTGATGGCTCTGAATAGCAAATAATTTAATATATTTTCAATTTCTAAAGTATTTTCTTCCTCATGTAGTAATCAACTGCATGACAATTTATTATCAAGCAAATATCCAGAATTATAAGCCAATTTTCTTTCATCTGCTATTATATAATATCATTAATTTTGTCTGAGATGTAATTAATTAAATAAAATACAGTAATTTAATTGTAAATCACAGTTTGTCTTCACACCTTAAAACTTTTCTCCAAAAGTAATAGCAATTTCTAGACTTTCCATCTGCTGAATATTACTTGGGTCTGACTGACATTCCATGGTGGACAGACCTTAAGGTGAATTCCAATGATCTCTGCCTCCTTTGCTCCATGCCATTCATATTAACCTCCCACTGGAGTGTGGGTGGGAACCAAGACTTGCCTTTAATCAAAAGAATGCACAAAAGTAATGGAAAGCCAATACCACGATTATGCAGTTATATAAGACATACTTCTCCCTTTCTCTTCCTCTGTCACTGCCTTCAAAGAATTGAGTTGCTTTGAATCCTACAGCCAAAGGCAAATAAATTCTGCCAACAACCTGAAGGGCTTGGAAGAGGATCTTCCCTTCTTTAATCAGTCCTCCAGATGAAAACACCTGATTAACACCTTGACTGTAATCTTATAAGGGATCCAGCTATTCCATAGCTCAAATCCTGACCCAAAGAAACTGATATTAGAAATGTGTGTTGTTTTAAACCACTGTGCTTGTGACTGTTGTTGTACCGAATATAAAACTATTTCAGGCTGGGTGCAGTGGCTCATGCCTGTAATCCCAGAACTTTGGGAGGCTGACATGGGTGGATCACTGGAGGTCAGGAGTTCGAGACTAGCCTGGCCAAGATGGTGAAACCCCGTCTCTACTAAACATACAAAAAAATAGCTGGGAGTGTTGGTGGGCACCTGTAATCCCAGCTACTCTGGAGGCTGAGGCAGGAGAATCGCTTAAACCCGGGAGGCAGAGGTTGCAGTGAGCCAAGTTCGCGCCACTGCACTCCTGCCTGGGCAACGATAGTGTAACTCCATCTCAAACAACAACAACAACAACAAAAATATTTCAATTATTTTCTTAATTTTCCTATTTCCTGGAATTAATGATCTCACTATCATGAATAACTTTTTGGAGCTGGGGATTTCTAGAGTATTTCTGTCTCTTAATTACTACTAAATATCTTAGACCATTATTTGAGAACCAATATTTATTGTCTATAAAGACTTCTAAAATAACTACAAATTCTCATCTACACACAGATGAGTAGAATAACTGAAAACATCATTTTTAGGAATCTAGACTTTATGACTTTGTTTTTGTAATCTGAAATAAAGCTTTTTATTACTAAAGTTTAAATTTGCCTCTTTTTCAGTCCCTCGTGCCATTTGATATAGCAATACCTCTTTATGGTTCCTGTAAAACTATGGCTGATACACACATATGGTTTTTAGGGGACTTATAAAGTAGTAGGTTTACTCCGTTATAATTTTTCTGAGAAGGAGGAAGGAGAGAGAGACAGTTGCCTTTGAATTCTCAGGATCCCTTCTGGATCAGTTTTCATTTGTTTAATTTCTCTGGATTTATTTCCTTTTTGGTTTCAACACAGCCTGAATTCAAGGGAAAAAAATGAAAATAATATCGAAGCAATTTCAGATGCAATCAGCTTTAGGGTATCAGACTTAAAATCTACCATAACATATGGCTCAAGGACAATTAAAAAAATTGTTGGATACAGGAAGGAAGCATCAACAACAGGAGGCAGTTCAATGTAGGGGACATAATTAGTATGTGAAAAGTTAAACTTTATATTCTTACATATGTAGGACAAAATAAAGGGAGAAGAGAGTTAATATTTAATGAGTAACTACTTTGTGGCAAGCATTGTGTTAGGCCTTTAAACACTAAAGCTAACATGGTAGCTTTGGACAAATATTTGATAGATAGTAAAAAAAAGAGGTCCAAGACATCCATTTTCACCCCTGACCTATAAATATCTGGCAGTCATCACTCCCATCCTAACAACAAGGAAAAAAGCTGAACAAAATGAACATCAATGTCTTGTTTTGGATCCAACAAAGAACAAACCTCCACTCTTGAAATATGGAATATCAAGTGATTTCAGAGAGTCATAGCCAAGATCTGCTTACCTGGAGTAGAGGATGCTGGAGTCATAAACTGGTAGGAACACTTAAATGGTAATTTGGACAAGTTTCTGGAGGCTAAGTATGAAACAGAGTGAAAGTCAGAAAGTTCAAGGGCCCAGTGGGTCCTCACAAATTTACGGGTTTACCTCAAAGAACTCCACTAGGTCCTCACAATGGAGAGCCAAAATACATGGCTTTATGGCTCTGGCAGAGGAAGACAAAAGTAACCATTTAGAAGTCTGTCCAAAACATTCTGTATAATGAAAGCTTACTCTTTACTGGAGAATACTTTACAGGATCATTGTCTCACCTGGGGGAGAGCCATTTCCCTAAATGCAACCCCTGCTATCCCTTCATCTAAGGGGGGAAAGTCTAAGAAACACTTCTGAAGGTCACAAGACCGAGGGACACAGTCCCACTAAATGAGTGAGGTTTAAGCATAAGATTATAAAATGAATCCACTCATCCATTGTTTACCATCACAACAAAAGAATTCCAATTTAATAGCAGTGGATTACAGATGAAATAAGTGTAAGATGCAGACTCTAAGGAAGAGTTTTTAGGGAAACCCAGAGACAGTAGGAGAGACAAAAAATAAAAGCACTAGAGGAATTTAAAGTTTCTGGTACCGTATAGCACACATTACATATAGCCAAACTAATCTAAAGTCTGAAACAAAAGACCCACTTACCTCAGTCCTACTATTTGATATATTGTTTCAGGCTTTCAACAACAACAAAAAAATAACAAGTTATGCCAGACAGGAAGAACAAAACATGGTCTGAAAATACAAAGCAAGAATCAGAAGCAGACTCAAATATGACACAGATATTGGAATTATCAGACAGCTTAAAATAACTGTGATTACTATGTGAAGGCCTCTAATGGGAAAAAATGAGTAGCATATAAGAATAGTTGGATAATGTAAACAGATAGATGGAAATTCTAAATAAGAAACAGAAGGGAATGTAGAAATTGAAACACTGTAAAAGAAATCAAGAATGCCTGTGATGGGCTTATTAGTAGAATTTGATATGACTGAGGGAAGACCCCATAGGTTTGGCTATATGTCAATAAAAACATCATAAATGAAATGAAAGAGAATAAAAAAAAGAATGATCAAAACTCCCAGAATATCCAAGGCAATTTCCATTTCAAAAGATGCAACTTACATGTAACTAGAAGGGCAGAAGGAGAAGAAAGTGAAAATGGAACAGAAGAAATGTTTGAAGTAATAATCGCCAAGAACTTTACAAAATTAATGACAAACAGCAAACCACTAATGCAGGAAGCTTGGAAATACCAAACAGGATAATGACCAAAAAATCTATATTTAGGCATAACACAGTTAAACTGCAGAAAAACAAAGACAAAAAAAGTAATGTCAAAATAAGCCAAAGGATAAAAACAATTTACCTGTAGAAAAATAAGGATAAGAATTACCTGGACTTCTTGTCATCAACCATGCAAGCAAGAAGAGAGTAGAGTGAAGAAGATAAAGTGTTGAAAGAAAATAACCACAAACCTAGAATTCTATAACCAGTGAAATTATATATTCTTTTGAAAATGAAAGAAAAAAAGGTATTTTTTAAACAAAGAACAACTAAGGAAATTTATTGCCAGAACTATCCTTTAAGAAATATTGAAAGTTCATTGAGGCCAGGCGTGGTGGCTCACACCTGCAATCTCAACACCTTGGGAGGCCGAGGCGGGAGGATCACCTGAAGTCAGGAGTTCGAAGCCAGCCTGGCTAACATGGTAAAACCCTGTCTCTACTAAAAAATACAAAAAAAAAAAAAAAAAAAAAAAAACTAGCCAGGCATAGTGGCTCATGCCAGCTACTTGGGAGGCTGAAGCAGGAGAATCACTCGAACCCAGGAGGCAGAAGTTGCAGTGAACCAAGATCATGCCATTGCACTCCAGCCTAGGGGATAGAGTGAGACTCTGTCTCAAAAAAAAAAAAAAGTTCATAGAGAAGACAATGATAGAGATCTAAAACTAGGATCTACTGAAAGAACAGAAAAGCATCAATGAATGAATAATTGAAGGAAAAATATTTTTTGAAAAGAAAATGTAATGAAGAAAAGACTAACAACATATTTGATGGTTATAGCATAAAGATAAGAAAAGTGAATTACAGCAAGGTCATAAGGAGGAAGAGATTGAGTTCGCTCTTTTTCCAGTTATCTACACTAAATGTAAAGCAATCCAATGATATTTGAAGGTGGCTTTGGATTAGTTAAAAATATATATTGTGATTTCCAGGGAAACCACTAAATTTTTAAAGAAGCATCATTGATAGGAAAATAGAGGAGAAAAAATAGAACTATATAACATGCTCAGGTAAAATCAGAGAAAGGAAAGAAAGAGGAGGCAGGAAACAAAAGACAAGTATAACAAATACAAAACAGTTATAAAAATGGTAGGTATTTAAGCTATATTTTTGTTTTTTTTTTAAAGACAGGTGTTATTCCAAATACATTGATAATCACTTTAAATGTGAATGGTTCAATATGCTGATTAAAGACAGGGATTGTCAGATTGAAGTATCAAGCCATAGAATGATATGGATGATCTTTAAATCCTTATTGCCTGGTGAAAGAAAGTAGTTTAAAAGGGTTACATGCTATGTGATTCCAATTATATGATGCAGAAAAGCCAAGCCTACAGAGACGATATTGGCAGGGGAGACAGTAAAGAGGGAGGGTTGCATAGGTGAAGCATAAGGGATTTTTTAGGGCAGTGAAACTATTCTGCATAATACCAAAATGGTAAATATACAACACCATACATTTTTCAAAACCCACTGAACTTTACAGCACAAAGATTGAATCTTAATACATATGCAACATAAAATCATTTAGGATAACACTGGTACTCAGGAAGTAATGCAGAATATGACAAAAGAATCTAACTCTATTAAAATAGTATGTAATGACCTCACTTGAGTAGGTGGGTAAAATGTGCTGACTTAAGCAAGTTGAAAATAAATGGAGTCTATAAAACTAAAGTAAAAGAATAGATAAGTACTATACTCTAGTTGATAATACTGTTTCCACTGGGAACTCAGGCTTACAATTCTGATACTCTAATATATGCACACTGGAAGGGAAAAATTAGGTGAATGGATGGCAGATGTTGGATCCAGGTTTCTCATTGTTGAATTGGAAATATACAAATAAGCAAGGGAAGGAAGCTAGAAATATGAATGTGGAAATGGTTTAGAGTTGGAAACATCAGTATGAACTCATGTTTACCTTAATATAGGTAGTGTTGGTTACATAGAGAATATATATATATATATGTATAACATATATTATATATGGTGTATATATTTTATATATATACATATATATTTATACCAATATGCAGAACTTAGCATACCCATATATACTTATACCCACTTAGCATACCCACATATACATATACACCCCATGCGCAGACCTTAGAATACCCACATATATTTTCCTGCTCTGTCAGCTGAGAGGGCATAGATGCAGTGATATTCCAGTAGCAATAAGCATACCTAGTGCCCAAATCTTGGTTTCTAATTCTGTTGTTCAACAAAAGAAATGAGTGATTTTAGGACTCTGGTAGAAAATATGCAAGAATAGTCTGCAGTATTCTATAGTGAAAAATGGAAGATACAAAAAAAAAAAAATAAAGAAAGCAAATGAAAGAGGAGCTCCCAATGGAAAAAGGTGAAATAAATTGTGCAAAGAAATAAAGTAGTACTGCATTATAACCCAGAGTATAAAATAAATATCAATGAGTTTATATCAATATAATGAAAGGATTTAAAAATAAGTAAAGAAGATAAATTGCTTATGCATAATAATTCCAAATAATTAATGTAGATATTTTCAAGAGCTGGAGCTTAAATCACCACTTCTTAAGTGTTGAATGTTCAGTGACCTCTTTCCAAAAATTGCAGCATGAAAGAAAAAAAGAGTAATTTTATAGTAGAGAAACCTGGCAAATACTATCAGATTTTCAAGGTGATCATGGTTAACATCAACAGTTATAAATAATGTTGATTATATGTAACCTTGACGTAAAGTAAGGAGAATGACATTCTACTTCTGTAGTGTTTCTGCTGAAGACTCATAATCCCAGTCTAAACATTTAGAAATATATTAGACAAATCTCAACAAATTCTAAAAAATACATTATATAAGATACCTTACCAGTACTCCTCAAAAATCAAGTTGATCAAAAACAAAGAAAGTCTGAAAAACTGTCATAGCCAAGAGAAGCCTAAGGAGATAATAAGGGAATCTTGATGGTATCCATAGATTTAAAAAAAAAAAAAAGGACACGAGGTAAAAATTAAGAAAATCTGAATAAAATGTGGACTTTGGTTAATAATGATGTATTCATATTGGTTCATTAATTGTAATGAAGGTATCATACTAATGTAAAATGTTAATAACAGGAGAAGCTGGTTGTAGAGCATACCAGAACTCTCTTTACTACTGTCATAAATTTTCTATAAGCCTAAAACTATTCTTTAAAAAAAGTACTTGAAAAAAACAGTCCAAAAATATGGTGTTCTTCTATGAATTTAAAACTAAGGACATATAATATTAAGTATTGTGTATTATATATTTCAAAATAGCTAAAAAAGTCTAAATGTTCTTACTACAAAGAAATTATAAGTTTATGAGGTGTCAGATATGCTAAATACCTTGATTTGATTTTTACACAATTTATACAGGCATCAAAACATCACATTGTACCCCATAAATATGTGTAATTATCATGTGTTAAATTAAAAACAAAGTTAAAATAAGAAAATCTACTTGAGGGTATAAATGACTTTTTTTAAGGGTATAAAATAAATGGAGATGTAGTACAGTAAAATTGTTAAGTAATTACTTTTGGTCATCAGAAACAGTAAGTTTGAATTCTTGTTTCACTGCTTGTAAGATGCATTAGGATAAATGTTAATAAATGTTGGATATATGTAATATTAATTTAACTATAATACTAATATGCAGTGGCAAAGAAGAATTATGCATTGAAACTTTGAAGAGAATGAATGCCTTCCAGAAGGGTTTAGATTAATTAATTTGAAATTATGAACACACTCAAATAGAGGTTAACACTTTGTGTGAACGTGTGTCTTTGTATGTGTGTGGTTGGAAAGCAATGGGGCCTAGAAGTGGAGCATAAAAGAAGTTAGCTTTGACAATGTGTCTAGCCTAGTTCTGGGAAGAGGATGACCTGAATAGGAGCCAGCATATCTATTGGGATGGAAGGTAGAGTTGGATTCATTAAGCGATGTTAGTCAGCGAGAGCCATTAATATCATTTAGTTGATTTATCTATGTTATACCATGTTCACCAGACCAACTTTTGATTATATTCAAATTTCCATGTAGATTTATACAAAGAGAGTGCACTGATCAGAAAAATCGGAGTATACACGTCTCTTGATTCTAAAAATCTATCCTTAGAAACTAATGATTAGGTGTCTGATTTTTATGCATCTATTCTAAGTTTAATTATGCTGAATTGTCCTTGAAGTAGATCCACTTGTGGTGTTCTAGGACTTTCCAAATGATTTTCAACCTCTTTGCATAAACTTTTCTTCAAAGTGCAAGTTCATTTTTTAATCATTCAAATTAAGAAATGTACTTTAATTCATTTAGACATGTAATTAAACTCCTTACATTTTACACAGAAACATCAGCATTAATGTTACTAACATCAGTGACAGTATCAGTATAACATCAGTAAAATAAAATACCAGTATTAGTGTTATTTCATTTGTAAAAGTCAAATCACATAATGGATATCTCAAATTACTCAAGGATATAGAACAAAAATTTATTAGCAACAACTCTAGACTCATTTGAGTGGGGAAAATCGGCATGTTGTTTACTTGGCAGGTATTTTTCTAGACTAATGCATTTTCTAAGTTAACTCCCAGCCCATAGTTTTGAGTTTAGATATTTTGAGATATATGCAGTGTTTAATGGCATTTAGCTATATGGTGACTTTATCTGGGGAAGTATCTATTTCACAAAGCAAAATTATACTAGAGTATCAGTGAAATATAAGTACACATACACATACGTTATATATAGGTATTATTGAGCCACAGTATATTATTTGACCAATTCACCCCTCTTTTATCTAAAATAGGGTGAGGAACTAATGGAACAAAATGTTGAAGAAAAACATTTAAGGACTGACTCTCTCAACAAGTCTAGCACAGTAGTTAAGAACACAGGCTTTGGAGACAGTTGGATATACATTTTAGCCCCAGTTATCCTTACTAGGTGGTGACATTGCACAAGTTTTCTAATTTCTCAATGACTCCATTACTCCTAATAAAATAAGGATAATGATAACACCTACCTTTACAATTGTGGCATATCACACAGTTAGTTCCTCGTAATATTTATCATTTTTGTCTCTTTTGTTATTAAGATCATTAAGATTGTACTTATTATTTTGCCTATGCCACAACACAACATTTGGTTCACTGATTTGGCAGAGGGGGGACATACTCTAACAAAATATCAAATGTGGATTCTATGTAGTTATAATGTCAACCAATGAGACTATTACTTAATATAGAAAAAAATCAAGTCATTGGTTTTCAACTCTTCTTCACACATAAGTCAAGACTGCAGTAGAAATATTGTGATAGAAAATATGTAACATACAAAGAATAAGTTAAGTCATCAAAGAAGAAATGGACAAAAATATTTTTTATGAAAATCCAAAAGATTTGGCTACAAATAAAAATGGTTCTGTAATAACTACAATGATTAATGTTTCACTGTATCAAAAATGGCATTTGAGCTTGGGTATCATGGTAGAGACTGTGGTCAACAAGAGTTCTATGTTCTCCCACCTTTCCACAGTCTGCCTTACAGTTCATTTGGTGCCTTATGACTAATTTTGACCAATAGCCTGTGAGCAGAAAAGATATGTATCTTTTGGGTGGTGGCATTTGATAGCTTGTGCCCCATCCATCTCTCTCTTTTTCTATCTCAGAAATATGGGAGACCATATAGTCCCCAACACAGATTGGGTTTTCTATGAAGCTGACTCTGAGATTGAGTTTAATGAATGGGATGTTTATTATCAAGGGCCTTTGGGATCAACACCTTTGGAAGAGAGGTAAAGGAAACAGGATGGGGCAGAGGCAAAAATTGAAGCTGAGATTCTGGCACTTGATATACCTCTCTAGGAGTTACAGAGATCAAAAATGGCCTATTCAGAGTTGTCTGCATTATATCAAAATGACTGTTCCTCTAAATACCTGCTTTAGTCAGTTTTGGAGGACAAGAGTCCTTCCTCAAAGGGAGGTGTGGTCAGAACATCACCATGTCCACCGCCTTTCAGAAAGAGTTGCAAGGTGGACAAAGGCTGCTGAAACCAGTGTAAGACTATGATATTAGGATTAAGCCACTGAAATTTCAGGGCTTGGTTATTACTTCAGCTAATGTAATTTTTTCTTTTTTTCCCTCTTTTTTTTTTTTTTTTTTTGAGACAGAGTCTCGCTCTGTTGCCCAGGCTGGAGTGCAGTGGCACCATCTCAGCTCACTGCAAGCTCCGCCTCCTGGGTTCACGCCATTCTCCTGCCTCAGCCTCCCAAGTAGCTGAGACAACAGGCGCCTGCCACCATGCCCGGCTAATTTGTTTTCGTATTTTTAGTAGAGACGGGTTTTCACCGTGTTAGCCAGGGTGGCTCCATCTCCTGACCTCATGATCTGCCCACCTCGGCCTCCGAAAGTGCTGGGATTACATGCACGAGCCACTGCGTCCGGCCCAACTTTTTTCTAATACAAGTATATATTTAATATATTTCTCTTTTATATGAATTCCAGTATGTACTGAGTTGTTTTAAAAATCAAGTTAGTTTTATTTAGGTCTATTCTTGTGAAAACATATTAAAGAAATATTTTTAAGGAAAAACAGAAAACCTGTTAGCAACTGAATTGTATCATAGTTAAAGCTCAAGCTGAAATCTCACATGAAGATGTATTTTTCCAAGAGTGTTGCAGGAAGTCAGGGACCCTGAACAGAGGGACCAGCTGAAGCCACGCAGAAGAACATAAATTGTGAAGATTTCATGGACATGGACATTTATTAGTTCCCCAAATTAATACTTTTATAATTTCTTACGCCTGTCTTTACTGCAATCTCTGAACATAAATTGTGAAGATTTCATGGACATTTATCACTTCCCCAATCAATACTCTTATAATTTCCTATGCCTGTCTTTACTTTAATCTCTTAATCCCGTCATCTTCAAAAACTGAGGATGTATGTCACTTCAGGACCCTGGGATGATTGTGTTATCTGTACAAATTGTTTGTAAAACATGTGTGTTTGAACAATATGAAATCTGGGCATCCTAAAAGAACAGGATAACAGCGATTTTCAGGGAACAAGGGAGATAACCATAAGGCCTGACTACCTGCGGGGCCAGGAAGAACAGAGTCATATTTCTCTTCTTGCAGAAGTGAATAGGAGAAATATCACTGAATTCTTTTTCTCAGCAAGGAACAGCCCTGGGAAAAGAATGCATTCCCAAGGGGAGGCCTCTAAAATGGCCACTCTGGGAGTATCTGTCTTATGCAGTGGAACATAGGGATAAAATACACCCTGGTCTCCTGCAGCGCCCCCAGGCTTGCTAGGATTATGAAATTCCAGACTGGCGAATTCTAGTCAGACTGGTTCTCTGCTCTTGAACCCTGTTTCCATGTTTATCAATGACAATGCGTGCACAGCAGGACACGGAACCTCATTAGTAATTCTAATTTCACCTTGGCCTTGTGATCTTGCTCTGCCCCAATTTGCCTTGTGATATTTTATTGCCCTTGAAGCATGTAATCTCTGTGACCCACACCCTATTCGTACACTCCCTCCCCTTTGAAAACTGCTAATAAAAACTTGCCGGTTTTGCGGCTTGGGGGCATCACGGAACCTGCCGACATGTGATGTCACCCCCGGAGACCCAGCTGTAAAATTTCTCTTTTGTACTCTTTCTCTTTATTTCTCAGACAAGCCAACACTTAGGGAAAATAGAAAAGAACCTATGTTGAAATACTGGGGGCTGGTTCCCCTGACAGAAAAGTAGATCTTTTATTTTTTTTTGAAAATAGAAATTATTGCTATTTAACAAAAGAAAAAAAATCACACTATTATCATACAACGACTAATGAACATTCACTTTGCTTGTATAAGTAGTAATTCAGCTTCAAGTTTAAACAATGCAAAGTTAAAATATTAAGAAATTTTGTGCAGATTAAATATAGCTAAAATAAATATTGAAAGGTAAATCCACTTCAATTGACTATTGTTAGCTGATTTCTAGTTTCTGTAGTCAGAGGCTAACCTCAAAGAGTTAGAAATAAAGCAAAAATAACATCTAATGAGTTTGATCTTGAAATGGCCACATAGCCAGAGTATACGTTTCAGATAACATTTCCCCAATAATAAGAAAGAAATTTGGGGTGCAGTGACTTTTAAACAATGGCTAAATAAGGTTATGATAAAATAAATGAGAGAAGTGAGTGGTTTAATGGCTTTTTAATGAGCTTAATGTTTTCCGTTTTAATGAGCCCTCTTACATCAGCTTTAATCATTTTATGAGAATGAGAAATGATTGAGAAATGGCTTGCATTAATTCAATTTTCTGTTCAGCCTTCCCACAAGCCATTATGGCACAGTTGCTAATGGGAGTCAACTTGGATAAGTGGGAACTTACATAATAGGACAAATCTCAGCTAAATTTAGTTAGACATTTGATATGTTAACTAGTGATAAGGTTATACTTCCTCGTTTAGCAAAGAGTGCACACCAAATGCCCACAAAGTATTTTAACACTATAGCACAAGTAAAAATTAATTAGGATAGTTGAAATGAACTATAATTTGTCCTAATTAATTCTACAAAATTGTGTTAAAAAATCACCTGGCTTTTTATTAGTGACATAATAAAATTAAAAATGAACAAAAATAACTGAATTTGGAAATGTATACCTTTGATATATTTTGTGATTAAAACCATGTCAATTCTATCTACAGTTAAGGTGTATCCCTGTGTATAAGCAGTAGAGTATATAGAACGCAGTAAGTTACACAGAAGGACACAATGTACCAAATACCTGGGATGATATTAAATAAAATATTTGGCCATATACCAAATTATCACAAGAGCAAGTCATTTTAAACAAATAAAATAAAGTAAAATAAAAATTATGCTTCACTCTGATATATCAATGAGTTATTTACAATGAGTATTAGAAATCAATTCTTATTAATTTGGGTTTAAAAAATTATGAAAAAAAAATAACGAACACTGTATGGCTCACTGCATTGCCAGGAAAATTCAAGAACCAGGCTGAGAAGCATGGGCAAGAATAAGGAAAGTTGTGCAGAAAAAAAATCACATACAACACCGGTCCAGCGAGAACATCCCAAGCAGTATCAGTTTGAACCCTAGCAGTCCTCTGACAGTACTGGGAAGCAGGCGTGGGGCTGGAACCAGAGTCATGGCCACCCCTAGAAACTGAATATTGCTACTATCATTACCATCCCCAAGCTGGAATAGATGCTCAGACCTAGTATTTCTTAATAACAATATTTACAAGGTGTGAGATGGGACTAGGTCTGAAGCCTTCTTTCTAGGCTAGATGTAAAATAACTGTAAAAAAAATATATATGTAAATACATATAAATATATACATGTAAAAATATATATACATGTAAATACATATACATATATGTTATATATAATTGTTTTTAACCTAGTTAATGGAAGGTGGGATCTCCTCCTACAGAAATTCATCAGGTAGAAAATACCTCCATGCATCGCAAAAAACGTTTAGAAAAAAAATGATAGATAGTTGGAGGGATAAATGGAAAGATAGATGAAAGACAGATACAGAGATAGATAACCCAAGGCCAGTGTAGAAATGTATGAAAAATACAGAAAAATAGAAGAATGTGAAAATTTCCCTAATCACAGTACCACGGGAAAACTACCATTACTATTTTGCTATGCAAGCTTATGGCCTGTCTCTATGTGTATTTAAAGCTACATGGTTGGGCACAGTGGTTCATGCCTGTAATCCCAGCACTTTGGGAGGCAGAAGCAGGCAGATCACGTGAGGTCAGGAGTTCGAGACTAGCCTGACCAACATGGTGAAATCCTGTCTGTACTAAAAACAAACAAACAAACAAACAAAAATTAGCCAGGTGTGGTGGCTCATGCCCATAATCCCAGCTACTTGGGAGGCTGAGGAAGGTGAATCTCTTGAACCAGAGAGGCACAGTTTGCAGTGAGCTGAGATTGCACCATTGCACTCCAGCCTGGGAAGCAGAGTGAAACTCCATCTCAAACAGGACAAAACAAAAATGAAACAAAAAAACAACAACGAACAGACAAAATAAATACTTTCAAATTCATATTTTCTTCTCCATCCCTACTACCCTATTTTAATTCATTCCTTTATTTCTTCTCTCACTTGCTCTACAAAATGACCCCAAAAATAACACTGACCAATTCTATCCACAGTTAAGGTGTTTCCCTGTGTATAAGCAATAGAGTATATAGAACATAATAAATGTATATAATACATTCTTCTTGTTGGGTAAACATCATTTTATATGTGGTTAATTTTTTAAAACTTCTAACGTTCTATTCATATATTGAAATAAATGAGGCATTTATTTTGAAACTCTGCTCTTATTAGAAAGAACATTTTAAAGAGGCATCTTATAATTGAGATCTATGAACATTAGTGCTCTGAAATATTTTAATACAAATTTCAAAAAATTGTAACATGAAATAAGCTTGAGAAGTGTTCACATAATACATAGAGGACTTATCAGAGCCTTTATTATGCTAACATGTTCCAAAACTTCCTGAGAGGAACATATCATCTTTACTGTTTCATAAGCATATTTCACCAGGGAGCCTCTCTTTTTTTTTTTGTTTTTTGAGATGGAGTCTTGCTCTGTCGCCTAGGCTGGAGTGCATTGGCACAATCTCGGCTCACTGCAAGCTCTGCCTCTCAGGTTTACGCCATTCTCCTGCCTCAGCCTCCCAAGTAGCTGGGACTACAGGCACCCGCCACCATGCCCAGCTAATTTTATTTTATATTTTTAGTAGAGAAGGGGTTTCACCATGTTACCCAGGATGGTCTCAATCTCCTGACCTTGTGATCCACCTGCCTCGGCCTCCCAAAGTGCTGGGATTACAGGCGTGAGCCACTGCACCCGGCCAGGGAGCCTCCTTATGATAGTCCCTGTATAACTATTAACATATTTGGAATAATCTTAAAGACATTGTTTAAGAAAAAACATTCTAGAATATTTATAGAAACAAATTATGCTTAGATATAAACAACATGATATTTTTAGGTGACATAAATCAAAATTATTTTATATTATTAGTTACTTTGTTGAAAATTACTTTCTAGTCTTTGCTAGACTATATATATATATAGGAATACATATATAGGAATATATATATATAGGAATACATATATAGGAATAAATATATATAGGAATATATATATAGGAATATATATATAGGTATATATATGGGAATATATATAGGAATATATATATGGGAATATATATATAGGAATATATACATGGGAATATATATATAGGAATATATACATGGGAATATATATATAGGAATATATACATGGGAATATATATATAGGAATATATATATGGGAATATATATATAGGAATATATATATGGGAATATATATATAGGAATATATATATGGGAATATATATATAGGAATATATATATGGGAATATATATAGGACTATATATGGGACTATATATAGGAATATATATAGGAATATATATATAGGACTATATATATAGGACTATATATAGGAATATATATATAGGACTATATATAGGAATATATATGTAGGAATATATATAGGAATATACATATAGGAATATATATATATAGGAATATATATAGAAATATATATAGGAATATATATAGGAATATATATATAGGAATATATATGTGAATATATAGGAATATATATGAATACATATATAGGAATATATATATAGGAATATATATATAGGAATATGTATATACAGGAATATATATATAGGAATATATATATAGGAATATATATATAGGAATATATATAGGAATATATATAGCAATATATATATAGGAATATATATATATGTATCCTAGCAATAAATATATTGATTTATGAACAGCAAATTAAGACCCATGGAGTGTGGAGAAAAATGAGTTTAAAATCATTTTGCATGTTTTTAAGCGTGATTCCAAATGGATACTATTTAAATCCTTCTGACATGCTCATCTTTAATATCAGTAAAAATACAGGATTAGGCTAGAATAAATTAGCACGATGATTAATTAAGCTAGAAATATTTATCATTATTAAAAAGTGATATTTCAGAAAATCAAAAAAGCTATCTTTTTAGACCCGCTTAATCTAGACTAAATTTAATATTCTCACTTTAGTACATTGAACTGAAGCTTCACAATATAATATAGACTCTGGTTTGATGAAGAATGTGATGGATTTTAGAAGATGGGAAGTCTGGGCTTCTGAATTCATGTGTAATCTCTAATTTCATCCTTCATTTTATAGAAACAAAATGATTGTCTTTAGTCTCCAAGAGTCTTGGAATGATGTAGACATTTCTCACATAAATTGTTCTGGTTTGCATGATATTCCAGTATATATCAATGCTTACCTAGTGATCTACACATCTAAAGATCTGAATACTGTATATGTTTCTATCAATTTGGTAGAAAAGAAAGAAAATGGTCCAGATGAATGTCTATTCAATATCCTCTGTATCCAGATTGTTTATTCTAGGTATAAAGAAGTATTGATTTTCTTTCGGGATCAATCAAAACCACCTCAAAACTACATGTCAAAAAGTCCAGAATTAGCAGTCATATAACAGTGGGAAACTCACAACACTTACGAAGATTACATGGTGGGGGGGTATCCTTAGAAATTAACATTTTCATGATAAAAATGTACTCATAAATGTACTTATAACTTTTTATCACAGAAAAGTTTGAACAGGCACAAAAATAGGAATAGTATAAAAAACTCCCAAGCACCTATCCAAAACAACTCATGGTAATTCTTTTTCTTCTATGTCCCCAACCTTCCCCTACCCTAAGTGTTTTCAAGCAGATGCAAGAAATTTTATGATTCTGTCTGCAAACATTTTCAGTCTTTTTCTTAAAAATGGACACTCATTTTGAAGATACAAACAATTCTATTGTCCCACCTTTGAAAAAATTAACAAAATAATTTCTAAATATTATATAACATAATGCCAGGGTTTAGGTCTCTCTAATGAAATTATAAACATATTTATTTAACTTTACAGTTTGCTTGAATTTGAATTTTTTTGAAAAGTCCATAAATTGCAAATGGTTAATATATCTCTTAGCTCTCTTTAAATCTATAAGTTTGTCTTCAATTTGTCTTTTGCCAAATTTCATTTTTTTGATTTTTCAGAAAAAGAACTACATTATTTGCCTTCTAGAATATTCCATAGTCTTGTTGATTCCTTGTAGGTTTTTAAAAATAATTTACAGATATTTTTGTATTTGTTACCATCCTCTTACTAAACATTACGTTTTTGTTTTTGTTTTTTTTTGAGACTGAGTTTTGCTCTTGTCACCCAGTCTGGAGTGCAATGGCATGATCTCAGCTCACTGCAACCTCCACCACCTGGGTTCAAGCAATTCTTCTGCCTCAGCCTCCCAAGTAGCTGGGACTACAGGCGTGCGCCACTAAGCTTCGCTAATTTCTTTTTGTATTTTTAGCAGAGATGGGGTTTCACCACTTTGGCCAGGCTGGTCTCGAACTCCTGACCTCAGGTGATCCGCCCGCTTTGGCCTCACAAAATGCTGGGATTACAGGTTTGAGCCACCGCACCTGATCAAACATTTCAATAAACCCCAAAAATATACAGTTTTGTGACAGCTTTTCAAGGTTCTCCCATTCTAGTCTGTCCAAAGACCATTTTTCTACTATGGTCCATTTATGTTGTACATGTATGTAACTTAAAGTTAAATATGCACACTCACATTAACTATGCTCTACCTATGAACAAACAAGGTCAGTATAAATAGTAGCTAGTTCTGCCTCCGATTCCACCAAATGAGGATGCACCCTGATTTAGCACGTGTGTGAGCCATGCATCTGTATTCTCTCTCTTACTTTTGTTCAGGGAACATTCTGTCCAGCTGAGAATGATCCCTAGTAAGTAATGATATGTGCTTACCATAATTAATGACTTATTCCCGATGATGAAAACAAAGAGGCACTACCTACATTCTAAACCCCTACTTAGGTTTACTAAAAGTTACTGTAGTTTTTCTGGCCACGGTGAATCCTCCCATATTCCCTTCCATTCCCCAGCTAAGCCCCAATCCTTATAAACAGAGGTTTGCAGAAGGAACGGGAAAGAGAGTCTCCAGGAAAATAGTGTTTTTGGAGAGTGATTACATGATCTTTTCCCACAACAAATCGAGAGAAATTACAGTTCCATGAAAATCACTTTTAGAGACTGGGAGAGCTAAGAACAGAGGGCTATGACTTGGTTTCCAATTTGCTGTCTGCTCAAGCATTCACCTTGCTGTGCTAATTCTGAGACTTGGAAAAAGAGGTCAAGGCAGGGGAAGACAAAATGTGGAGCAGCCTGTTGTCTCACTGTTTGGGGTATTCAAGGTGCATATTTCCCAGAAGTCAAGAGGACCCCACTAGGGAAGCGGGGCTGAAGCCATCTAGTCAGTGTCTTGCCCATGTTGGCTGTCCATTGGGCCAAAGACCCCAAATGGCAAGAAGGCTGTGAGGCTCACTCTTGATGACAATTGGTAGATCCTGATGGAGCTGAAGGAAGTGGGGAGGTTCATCACGGCCTTCAGATGAATTCACACTTAATGCTCTCCAAGAGCACATGAGAGGCCAAGCCTCCTAGCCAGAGAAGTGGTCACTACTGCGACAAAGTCAACTACACAGCAGCCAAGTGAATGGAGATATTTGTCTCTTTCTATCTCCTGCCTCATTTCACCAGCACATTGGTAACAGGGAGCCCCCAGAGAGAAAGGCAGAGAACATTTCAGAGGCAGAAGATGCCCTCCTCTTTCTCCACCCTCTAACCTCCAGCAGTATGCAGGTTCCCAGCTTGAGGCTACATGAAGAAACAATATTTAAATAGAGTGGCATAAAAGTTTTACATTAAAGTGGACTTCAAATAACCAGTTGCTGAAAAGTAATGTAATCTGCCAGAAATGTCAGTAAGGACATTTTGATAGAGCACAGTTGAAAACAGTGATTGTAGAAAAATAAGCTGCTTCATGTTTACACCCCCACTGAGTTGAGACTACTCAATAAACCAGTTTTAAGTGATTTTTATACCACATGGTGCCTAAAAACAAGCTAATTCCTTCTGGGACTTAACCAGAGAAAGAGCAATCTGTCACAGCTCTGGGAGAAAACCTGTCAGTGTCAGACTTGCTGAGAGACGCTATGTCTGTCTCAGACCTGAAACCTTCCTAAGGAATTTTCAAGAGCAATTTTGACCCCACGCCATTTTTTTTTCTGAATGCTTTAATAAACAGTCCATCTGACAAATGCAATTTTTCTATATAGCACATCACCGACCCTCAACAAATCAGCTGGTTCTCTCACTGTTTTAATTGTGAGGACACAGCTTCACTCATCTAGAAATTCAATTAAGTTTAAGATGAAAAACTATCATGCATTGTCTGAAATTAAAGGAGTTTTCAGTATCTGAGATTTTCAATACTAAAATCTAGAAAGTTTTTGTCAAACCAGAAAGAACTGATCACCCTTCTAGTCAAAATTGTCCTTCACAGAGTGAATAAAGTCTCATCCATCTCCTCCTCAAAGGGTACAGAGTGCAGAGACATTTGGGGATTGGATGTGTGATTTGGTTAAAGACACACTAACGTAGCAGCTTAATTTTTCCTGTAAGAAGCCTATTAGTTTTTTTATTACTGACATAACAAGTTAACACCAAATTAGTGGTTGAAACAATACACATTTGTTTTCCTACAGTTCTGAAGGTCAGAAATCCAAAATAAGTGTCATCGGGCTAAAATGAAAGTGTTGGCAGCGGGCGTTCCTTCTGGAATATCTAAGGGAGGATTCATTTCTTTGCCTTTTCCAAGCATCTAGGAACTTCAGACTTCTTTGGCTCATGCCCCACATCACTCCAACTTCTGTTTCCACCTCAGACTTCTCTGACTCCGACTTTCCTATCTCCGGCTTTAATACATAGATACTTGTAATTACATTCTGTCTACCTAGATAATCCAGGTTAATCTCCCTGTCTGAAGATCCTTAACTTAATCACATCAGCAAAATCCCTTTCGCCATACATGGTAACATATTTGCAGGTTCTTGGGATTAGGCTATCTTTGGGGGCCATTATTCTGCCTACCCCATTAAGCATAGGAAATATTTTTAAATGATTAAGTTTATCTCAAGGAAAGTTAATCCATATTTGTCTCCTGTAACTCAAAATTTCTAGAGGACTACATGGACTTTAACATACTAGGAAATACTACACTTGTCATGACCTTCAGTACAAATTCTATTTGACCAATATTTCGTCATTTCTGGCTAGATGTATATTCCTTTATCTTATGATGAGGCTGGAAATACTCTATAATTGATTCGCAAATTTTTAGGGGAACCAGATTTATAACATCTTAGCATTTTACTTGCCTGAGACATAGAACTTCTATAAAGCTTTCCCACAAAATACAGCTGGAGCTAGCTTAAAACCGAGACTGTTATTTGATACAGCAATTCCATAGTGAATATTTTTAAACTTTAATCCTACCTCTTTGATAAATTCTGGTTATTTGCTAAAAAAAAAAAAAAAGTAATTTCTTTTTACAAACATGTATTACCCTTAGCAAATTAGCATCTTACCAAGAAATAATTGGCGAGCTTTAACATTTTGATCCTCTAACTCACCTTCAGACTTAGAGTTAAGGTGGTGAGAACTGGATATTTTAGGGCAGGGATCAGTATTATAGTAACTAGTCTTTAAACCCTGGGAAAAATCCAATTATACATAAGATATCTCATTTATTTATTAAATAAACATTTACTGATCTCCTACCTTTGCAAGATATTTCAAACAAAAGATAAAATTCATTGAGGGCAGAATTGAGTAACCCTTAATGTATACACTTTGAAGGAAGACAGATCTAGTTTCAACATTTCTCACTAACTGAGCAAGTAAACTCATTTTATTTTCAGTTCAGTCCCACCCTTCTAATTCGTATGGTGGTTGTGAGGTCTCACTTAGATAATACATTAAAAATATTGTGCACAGTGTATAGGATATCACTTAAATCTCTTCAGGATCTAATACAGGGCTAAGTTAACAATTCATAAGCAGAAGTTCTTATTGTTTTATTGGATTATGTCATATTGTTGTTACATCTCTCATAAAGGATCCTAATGTGACTAGGTTTCTATTCAGATTTAATATAACTCTCAATAATTTATTAATTAATACAAGTAAGTTTTAAACTGAGACAACTTGGCTGGACACAGATACAATTTTTTGTTATGTCTCATGTTTTATTTAGTAAAGAAAAGTCTGGGTATATATTTCAAGCTTTGTTGAATTTTCAGAAGAAATGTACCATATTCAACAGTTCTTAGAGCATTTATGACTTTCAAAGAAGCTTTTCAGCTCCTAAATTAAATAAAGATTAGTTGGTTCTGGGTATTTAGAGGTAGGGGAAAAACAAATACAAGGGTCTGTCCCATAGTAATTTAGATATAAATGAACATTTCTTAAAATATGAAAAAAATAAGTGTCTACCATAGGCAAAAACTAAGCTCCCAGGAGATAAAGACAGACCAGCTGTTGGAACCAGAAGTGTGGGGCTCATAGAGCACCAGAACAGGTGACATTGAAAGACCACCTTATGGGAGGCACTGAATAAAAACTTAGGTAGAATCAGAAGAAGCAAAGGAAGGAAGGCTTTTGATATTATTTTTGTTTCTGTTGGTTACTTGATTAGTTTGGTTATGTTTAAGATTTTGACTCTAAGTCTCGGTGTTTGAGAACATCTTCAACCCTTAACATGTCTTATGAAGGTGGATATCTTCATTTCTTGGCCTGATCTCCTCGTTGACATTGCTTCCTGGAAGGAGGCAAAAGCCCAAAGACTCTTGGTGCCAGGTTTGAACAGTCTGGACACCTGGTTTGAAACACCTTCCTAATCTACCTTTATTCTACCACAGCAGGTTTACACCCAACCGGAGGAGGAATGCACCATGGGGTCAGCAGATTATTTAAGTAAAATTTTTAATGGATGTTCTGTAATTTGATTTTTATTAGTAAAAGCAATAGCAAAAAATAAGTCTCTCTGGATTTGTTCTACCCTATTCTATAAACTGAAAAGATGACAGGGTTATCTAATATATAATACATATATATATAGATAGATAGATAGATAGATAGATAGATAGATAGATAGATTTTTTTTTTTTTTTTTTTTTTTTTTTTGGCTGAGTCTCACTCTGTTGCCCAGGCTGGAGTGCAGTGGTGTGATGTCTGCTCACTGAAACCTCTGCCTCCCAGATTCAAGCAATCCTGGTACCTCAGCCTCCTGAGTAGCTGGGACTATAGGCCTGTGCCACCATGCCCAGCTAATTTTTTGTATTTTTTATTAGAGAAGGGGTTTCACCGTGTTGGCCAGGCTGGTCTTGAACTCCTGACCTCAACTGATCTGCCCGCCTCAGCCTCCCAAAGTGCTGGAATTACAGGCGTGAGCCACCATGCCCGTCCTAAAATCTTTCTTGATATACCATTTTAACCTAAACTTGCATCTTTTAAGAAACCTAGGAAATCTAATAACCAGCAAATTAAGTAAAGAAATTTAAGACCTCTGAATGTTGCGTAGTAATTATTAGAAATTGCATATATCAGATTAAAGAAATATAATAGGTCTAATACCTAAATATAAAATCTGTTAAATCAGTGAGACACAGCAAAACAGAAGAGATAAAGAGGAAGAGGTTGAAGAGGGCAACATTCTGAAGATTAAGCATCCAATTGGTTTTCAATGTAAAGGAGCAGAGTGTCTGGCTAAGGCTGCCTACACCAGCGCTCCATCCATCTTGAAAGCCCGTGCTGGGATTATAGACATAAGCCACCGCGCCCGGCCGATGCTGAAGTCTTCTTATTTTTCCAGCTGATGTTAATGTAATCAGCCTAAAGGTTTGTAAACTCACTTACGTCATGTGTGGGTTTTATGATCCCATATCGGGGGATGGGGGGCGTTGGGGCGGGGGGATCTCTACGATTAAGAAGTGGTAGGATTAATGTTGTAGGTGTGGTGACTTTTGCATTTCGATTCCTTAACAGACACCTTAACAATTATTTTGTTTATGTTGCCTGACTTAAGTTGTCATTGGGAAAAGTCAAGCCATAATCATTAAACTAGAAATAAGAGTCAATGCTCATTAGACTGGAGCAAAATTATCTCTCTTGGAATACCCAGCAAGAAAAGGATCCTAATAAATTCATTTCTTCTTAATGTTGCAATGTTATTTTTTGTCTAATCTCATAAATCGGCAATAAAATGGCATACACAGTTGAACAAATATACTCATCAATTTATACCCTCCTAATGTGGTTTGTAATAATTTTCTAGTTTTTACTCTATCAAAGATCCTAAGAATAACGAGAAGGTAATTACCTCAAATCCAAATTTCACTATAAGCAATCACCTAATTTCTTTTTTTTTTTTTTTTTTTTTGTGACGGAGTCTCCCTCTGTCCCCCAGGCTGGAGTGCAGTGGCGCGATCTCGGCTTACTGCAAGCTCCACCTCCCGGGTTCACGTCATTCTCCTGCCTCAACCTCCCGAGCAGCTGGGACCACAGGCGCCTGCCACCACGCGCAATCACCTAATTTCTTTCAGAAAGAGTTAATTTTTTATATTGATTTTTCAGCCTTACAGCTGCCCAAATAAAGTTTTCATGTGGAGTTTATGAGGGATTTTTTGTGGCAATAGTCAGGTACTACAACAACCCAACCCTCTCTTTTCATTTTACATACATATGGGTAAAATGACAAGTGCTCAGAGTGATTCAGTTAATGGTCCGTGGCCTTAAAATTTGTGAAATATAATCACCTCATTCATCATTTGCAAAAAGAAAATTTTTATCTTCCATAACAGGAAATTAGGTGGCTAAAGGCTGAAAGTACAAATCCATCTTCAACTAATAAGGTATTAAGCAACACTAGCAAGCAGTATACTCACTTCTCTTCTAGACTGGGAACACAGAGAAGTAATAAGCCACATGAAATATTCACCATCAGGACTTTTGAGGTAGGCAGATTCACAACAACAGCACACAAGCTTTGTCAGGAATTGTTGAGAGATTGAAAGCATACTTAAAGGATTTATTAAAGCAATAGAGGCAACCTCGACTCCAGTTACCATGACTGCAGGGATTTTTATGGCCACGTGTTTAACCTTCTTGTGCTGTAACAGATAAGTTATGCTTTCAGCTGATTTGTGTACAAAGAGTTTTCTCAATCTTCTCTAGTACTATATAGTACTGAGGTATTGCTTTTTTACTTGCTAAGTGAAGCATTAATAGGACTGTCAGCAGCAAGATAGAACAGGCAATAAATATTAAGATTTAATGTTATGATGATTTATGTTGTAGGAACTATTGTCCTAGAGTATAAGGTATGATTATTATCTCTCATAATAAGAAATGGTGGGAGAAATAGAATGTTGGCAAAGGAAACTTTCTAAAGCTCTTTTTATCAGGAAAATTTTTTTATAGGAATATATTGGAGGCAATATCTTGATTTTCTAAATAGTAAAGGTGATTTACATAAGTGCTTATAAAATATTGCTGTTCTTATACAGGATTTTTTTTTAAAGGTTGGCAATGGTCTTTTAATACTTGACTATCTCATTCACTCCAAGCATTTTATAGGAAAAATGCAGAGTGTTTTATGAGTGGATTTAAGATAGCAGAAAATCCTTGCAGGAATTGGGACTAACATAAAAGACCATTAGACCACTCAACTCCTATACACACCATGGCAATAGCAGGTTTATCTACAGAATTACATGAGTTTTTAGAATCCCAGGCTCCCTGTCCCTGCATTTGCTATAGTATCTTTTGCCTAGAGTGTTAGTTATCTATTGCAGTGAAACAAATTACCCCAAGATTTAGTGGCCTAAAACAACAAACTTTTTTAATCACACAATTTTTTATTTTATTTTAGGTTTAGGGTACATGAGCAGGTTTGTTACATGAGTAAACTGTATATCACTGGGGTTTGGTTTACAGATTATTTAATCACCCAGGTAATAAGCACAGTATCCTAGAGGCAGTTTTGTGATCTTCACCCTCCTCCCACCCTTCACCCTCAAGTAGACCCCAGTGTCTATTGTTCCCTTCTTTGTGTCCATGTGTACTCAATATTAAGTTCCCACTTATAAGTGATAACATGTGGTATTTGGTTTTCTGTTCCTGCATTAGTTCAGTTAGGATAATGGCCTCTAGCTCCATCCATGTTGTTACAAAGGACATGATCTCATTCTTTTTTATGGCTGCATAGTATTCCATAGTGTAGATGTACCACATTTTCTTTATCCAGTCCACCACTGCTGGGCATGTAGGTTGATACCATGTTTTTGCTATTGCGAATAGTGCTGCAATGAACATACATGTGCATGTGTCTTTATGATAGAACTATACACACAATTTCTATGGGGCAGAAATCCAGGCCTCTACCTAGGGCTGTTTACAACATAACAGTTTTCATCCCTTAGTGTAAGGCATCAGAGAGGGAATGTGTGACAGAACAAAAAAGAGTACCCATAAGGGTTCCATAGTCTTTATACAACCGGATCCTGGAAGTGACATCCCATCACTCACACAGTATTCTGATCATCAGAACAGAATCCTCACATACAGTCTGCACTTACGGGCAAGGGATGACACTGGGGTGTGAATGCCAGGAGATAGAGACCATTTGGGGCCACCATGGAGTTTGTCTATTACACTTAGAGTCTCTATTCTACCTTGGGATTTACTCTCACTATATGCCTCAAGTTATTGAGCTTGTAGTAAATGAGCTTTAAAGTTCTTAAAGAGTGCCTAACCCACATATTCATTTCAAATTATTTGACACAGTACACAAAATTTATACATTAGAAAAATTCCCTGGAGTTTGGGCTTAGTATCTTCAAAACATTGAGAAAAATACGTATTAGGTATGGATTTGGATTAATACATCGGTCTGGATTTCCCAAGTAGTCATAATGCTATGTATTCTGTTGTATTGTCTTCATAAGCATTCACACTTGTGATCCTATTTTGGGTTTGAAAATATACTCAGCACAGTTACACTTTAGGGATGACATTCTAAGACATAATCACATTAGAAGAGTAAGGATCTTTATTTAAAAGGGCCTGAAGCTTAATTTGTAAAGAAAATACTCCCAAAAATATAAAATATAAATGGAGTGTAACAGTTTGCTTTCATAGTTACTAAGCATTCAATAAATGTGGTATTCTCAAAAGACAGTTGTAACTTCTAATACGGCATTAGACAAAGTGGAGGAAAAGCTATAATGTTGGAAATTATTTCTCTGTATTTTCATCCTCAACTTTTTGCATAAATACTCCTAAATAATAATAATCTTGCAATTATGGAGGCAATTTTTGCTTGTATATGTTTATTATTTCTTTGGGCAATCACTAAGATACACATCAACGCTAAGTGTGCCATATTAATTTATTTGCATGACTAAATGGTTAGTTAGATAATTTCTTTGTTTAAGAGCACCAAGGTAGAAGATTTTGTATTTTCTAGCTACATATTTCTCTTCAGTACAAACTGGATATGGAGAATAATGTAGAATCTTGATCATTTGATTACAGAGAACCCTTTATTCACCTCAACTTGCTATACATTTCATGTATTTGTCTGAATTCATTGGTGAATTTTGTAATAAGAACTAAATCCAAATATTTAGTGTCAAATATATATATTTGTCCCTAATGGCATGAGCCTAGAACATCAGTAAGACATATAAAATGATAAAATGGTACTGGGGAACAAATAATTGAGGTTTCATGTGTGCATTTTTTTTAACATTTCCATCTTGTACTTCAAGCCATATGTTGGTAAGTTTTACATCAAAACAAAAATTCTGTACCTAGAAGAGAAACAGCCACATAAAGACAAGTTTTCATGCTAAATGAATAATAAATTATAGGTTATGTGTTTCTTTGATTTTAGAAGATGTATAATTTAAAATGATAAATAATTAACATATCAAAGCATTCTAATTTAACTGATGCACAAGAACAGCTAAGATATAGAATCTGCTTGTTGCTCAAAACACATCTTTATAGTATAGAAATGTAGCAGCTTTTTATTACTAACAATTATGTGTTCCAAAGGGTAATTTCGGCTTATCACTTTAAAATATTAGGGAATGTTAAAAAGTTCCATTTCTTATATGGGATGTGTAAGTATGTAGTGGTGGAATATAGAAAGAGAAGCATAATTAGCAGTGTGCTATTAAAATCTCACGTTTAACTTGGCCTACTTTGCTGATGCATGATTTCTGAGTGGCATATTCATTTTCATTTCCACACGTGTTCCTCCTCTACTCTGAGTCTACTCTGCAAACATGAAGAAATAATCCTTGCTTTGTAATCATCAATTTAATAGATACTAAAACAGTGTTCTTTAGATGTGGCATGTACTGACAACAGTATATTTGACTATATTTAAGCTGGTGACAATCAACAGAAAGTGAAAGTTTTTTTCTGCTATTTTTTTAACCTGGGGTTGAAGGTCAGCTAGCTAGAGACAAAGGAGGCTCTCAGAATTCTTAGTTTTCAGGTGCAAATTAACATTGATTCACCCTGTAGTCTTGAAAAAATAACAATCTCTATGCTGTTCTGAAATAGAAATTGCCACCATCACCTCATATTGATTTCTTTTTAGATTAAAGCAATAATTATAAGATAGCTTATTTTACATCTGATGAAACACTGGATATTCTATTCACTTCAAACAAACAGCAGGTAGTTTAAATGATAATTAATTAAGTTCAAATAGTTCCTTATTAGAAACAATAATGACCATTATAGTGTGAATGAAAGTTAGAAGCAGAATATGAGAGAAGTAACCACTTAGGCTTAGCCCAAATGTGTAAAATAGTTTGTCTTTTAGTATAAAAGAACAATTCAGACCATGGCTTTTTCTAGAACAGTTGTCACAACAGCAAAAACACAAGATTATCAAGAAATGGGTGAGGTGCTAGCTCCTAGCGCCAAATAAACACATCAAATCTAGCAGGAGGTACATATCAACTTAGGTAAGAAGCACCAGGAATACAGAACTTAATTTGTTGGAAAGCAACATATAGAAACAATAGCACCAAAAGGGATTTCAAAATAAACCCTGCTTTTAAATTACAGACCTTGCTCCTATTCATATTTCAATGCCCTTTTAAATTCAGAATTCTTAATGAGACTGGAAAAAAATAGGTAAGATGAATGCTTTTACCTAATGCCTATAGAGTGAGTCAATCCTAAAATTCCATTCTTCTCTTTTAGAAAACCAAGTAGGGCATTTGCAAGCAAGCAGGACATTCAGTATATATTCGCTGATCATAGTGGAATAGAACTAGTGTTAGTAACACAAATTTCAGCAACTTAAAAAACAAATTAACCTTTCTAAATAATGAAAATGGAAACATTCCAAAAGCTTGAAATTACAGACAATTCATAGAAGATAAAATTTTGAGAATACTATGTGTTGAAGCTTATGAAATGTAGTCAAAGCTTTAGTTAGAGGCAAATTCATAGCATTAAATTCTTTCAAATTAAAAGGAAAAATACACACATATTGAAAACAAAATAAGGAGAAGAAGATGTAAATAATAGTGCAAATGAAAGTATTGACTCTATGAAAAATTTACAAAGAAACCTTTCCAAATCTAATTAAAAATAGCAGAAAGAAAACAGAAATAAAATAATAACTACAGAGAAAAAGAAAATTAGCATTATGCTCCAATCAATGTTAATCTGTTAGAAAAATCCTAAAGTATTAGATTCAGAAAGTACAATCGAGATCACTAAAATCAAATCAAATTAAATGTAAAACCAGTGTAGAAACTGATAGTGTTGTTAAAATAGGATATCAGCAAAATATTTTTTAGGTCTAGACAGTTTTACAAGTAGCATCAGTGAAAATGTCAAATAATATATTATTCTTTATTTTTATTATTATTATTATTATTATTATTATTTTAGACGGAGTCTCGCTCTGTCACCCAGGCTGGAGTACAGTGGTGCAATCTCGGCTCACTGTAAGCTCCGCCTCCTGGGTTCACACCATTCTCCTGCCTCAGCCTCCTGAGTAGCTGGGACTACAGGCACCCACCAGCACGCCCAGCTAATTTTTCTTTTTGTATTTTTAGTAGAGACGAGGTTTCACCATGTTAGCCAGGATGGTCTCAATCTCCCGACCTCGTGATCTGCCTGCCTTGGCCTCCCAAAGTGCTGGGATTAGAGGCTTGAGCCACTGCGCCCAGCCAAAAATGTCAAATAATATATTATTCTTATAGCATATGTAAATGTTTCAAAGCACAGCAAACGTGACAATTTTCTATATTTTAAAGATAAGAGTATCCTTATAAAATCTTTGATGTTCCCTCTGTACAGAAAAAAGTATACTGTGTATAACAAAGGCCTGCTTTGCCTTAAAAATTTGAAAGCAATAGTTCTAAATAAAGTCCTTTCAAATCTAGTTTACCAGCATATTGAATACATAAAATATGATTAAGTAGTTTCATTTTAGGAATGCAAGAATGTAGCACTGTTTAAGGATTCTTTAAAACATGTATAACATATTTATTGTATCAAAATTTTAAAGAAGATAGTTCACACAATAATCTTGCTAAATATGTTTTAATAATACATATATGATTTTAAAAATAAAACAAAACCACATTTATTTAGGAATTGAAAGCTCCTTTCTTTTAATTCTCATAATTATATCTTTCCTCATTTGCATTCCAACTTAATCTTAAATCTCGACCCATTATCACAAACTATAATATGTAATAAAAATATGATACAAACTGCCTAGCAATAATGGCCTAGAGAGAGGCAGAGGATACTGATATCCTTACCCCAGGATACTGAGATGGTTAAGACTTGAGTCTGTCCTTCTAGGCACTCAAAGTATTTCAAATGTACTATTTTTAAATAGACTTTATTTTTTAGAGCAGTTTTAGGATCAAAGCAAAATTGAGCACAACGTACAGAATTCCTATATGCTCCTTGAGCACAGACAACCTCCTCCACTGTCAACATTCCCCACCAGAGTTACAATCTATTTTGTTACAATCCATGAACCTACAGTGACATATCATTATCACCCAAAACCCACAGTTTACCTAGGGTTCACTCTTGGTGTACTTTCTATAGTTTTTGACGAATAATTACATGTGTGTACCATGATATAAACATACAAAATTGTTTTCCTGCCCTAAAAATTCTCTGCATTCTATTTATCCCTCTTTACCCCTAATCCCTGGCAACCACTGATCCCTTTACTATCTCCACAGTGGTTTTGCCTTTTTCAAAATGTCATATAACTGGAATCATACAGTATGTAGACTGGCTTCTTTCAGATTGACTTCTTTTACTACATCATATGCATCTGAATTTCCTCCATGTCTTTTTTCTTTTTTTGAGACAAGGCCTTGCTCTGTCACCCAGGCTGGAGTATAGTGGTGCAATCATGGCTCCCTGCAGCCTTGATCTCCTGAACTCAGGCTATCCTCCCACTTCATCCTCTTAAGTAGCTGGAACTACAGGTGTGCACCACCATGCCTGGCTAATTTTTGTACATTTTGTAGAGGCAGTGTCTCACTATGTTGCCCAGGCTGGTCTTGAACTCCTGGGTTCAAGCAATTCACCCATCTCAGCCTCCCAAAGTGCTGGGATGACAGGTGTGAGCCAATGTCCCCAACCTTCCTCCATGTCTTTTTGTGGCTTGAATACTCCTTTCTTTTTAGCACTGAATAATATTCCATTGTCTAAATGTACTTCAGTTTATTTGTCGGTTCACCAACTGAAAGACATCTTGGTTGGTTCCAAGTTGTGGCAGTTACAAATAAAGCTACTATAAACATCTGTGTGCAGGTTTTTGTGTGGACATAAGCTTTGAATTTTTATGGATAAACACAAAAGAGCACAATTGCTGGATTATGTGGTAAGAGTATGTTTGATTTCATGAGAAACTGCCAAACTGGCTTCTAAAGTGGCTATACATTTTGCATTCCCAGCAACAATGGCTGAAAGTTTCTGTTGCTCCACATTCTTGCCAGTATTTGGTGAAGTCAGGGTTTTGGTGAAGTCAGTGCACCATTCTAATAGGTGCACAGTGGAATCTCATTGTTGTTTAAATTTGCAATTCTTCAACATGATGTTGATCATCTTTTTATGTGCTTATTTACCATCTGTATGTAACCATGGTAAGATGTGTTTGTTCAAGTCTTTTGCCCACTTTTTAATCAGGTTGTTCACTTTACTATTATTGAGTTTCAAGGGTTCTTTGTGTATTTCAGGTAACAATTCCTTACAAGTTATGCCTTTTAAAAAATATGTTTTCCCAATCTGTGTCTTGTCTTCTCATTCTCTTCATAATAATTTGCACATAACAGAATTTTTTTATTTCAATGAAGTCCAGCTTATTAATTTTATTTCATGGAATGTATCTTTGGTGTTGTATCTAAAATGTCATCATCAAACCAAAAGTCATAGAGATTTTATCTTATGTTATCAGCTACAAGATGTAGAGTTTTGAATTTTATATTTAGATCTATTACCTATATTGAATCGAATTTTCTGGAGGGTATAAGTTCTTTGTTTAGATTCCTTTTTTTTTTGGATGTAGATGTCCAGTGTCCTTGCACTATTTATCTTCCCTCCATTGCATTGCCTGTGCTCCTTTGTCAAAGTTGATCTTTGACTATATTCATGTGGATCTATTTCTGGACTCTCTATCCTGCTCCACTGATGTGTTATTCCAATCTTTCACCACTGCCGTACTGTCTAAAACTAAAGCCTGTAGTTAGTCTTGAAGTCAGGTAGTGTAGTGCTCTGACTTCCATCCTCACTTCCATATTGTGTTGATTATTCTAAATCTTTGGCCTCTCGATATAAACTTTAAAATGAGTGTGTCAATATCCATGAAATAACTTGCTTGGATTTTGGTTGGGATTGCATTGAATTTATGGATCAATTTGAAAAAAAATGAACATTTTGTCATTGAGTTTGCCTATCTGTGGACATGAAATATCTCTCCATTTACTTAATAATTATTTTATTTCTTTCATCAGAATTTGATAGTTTTTTTCATAAAAATCTAATACAAATTTTGTTCTATTTATACCTTATCATGAAATTTTAACTTCAAATTTCACTTGTTCATTGCTGGTATATAAAAAAGCAATTGACTATCATATATTAACTTCATAGCCTTCAACGTTGCTATAATCACTTATTACTTCCAGAAGGGTTTTGTTTTGCTTTGTTTATAATAAAAGTTTTCAGATATTTTTTAAGTAGACAATTATATCATCTGTTAATACAGATAGTTTCCTTTCTTTCTTCCCAATCTGCATGCCTATTGTACCTTTTTTCTTCTTATTGCATTATCTAAAATTTTCAGTAGAATGTTGAAAATGTGTGGTGAGAGGGGATATGTTTGCCTTGTTCTTGATCTTAGTGAGAAAGCTTCTAGTTTCTCACCATTAAGTATGACTTAGCTTTATATTTTTTGTAGGTGTTCTTTATCAGATTATGGAAGTTTACTTTTCAAAATAGCTAAAGTTTAAACATGGACATAAATAAATAGAATATAGTGTTATGAACATTAATAAATATATGTTTAAAAGTTTCAAAAAAGAAATGCTTAAAAATCTCTTGACCAAAACAGATCTTGGAGGAAAGGGTGAAAGTAGGAAATGGCAAGTTACTTAATGAACATTACTTCCAAAAGCTCTGATTTATTTTCATGTACATTAAAACAATAAGTAAGAGAGAATATTCCTACAGAGGTAAGGAACTTTAGATCTGGAAGTGCCTAAAATGTGTTCATAATGTTTTATCTGTCTTGTATTGTAAACAATTGTGCTATTTACATAAAAAGTATTCAGTATGTGCTCCGTCCTCTAAGTAAGCAGCATGCTAGAAGAAAGGTAAATAAAACAATTTCTAATTTCAAAGGACACTAGCATATATATGTACCCAAAATAACACAAAATAACATTGAATGAAAGAAGAGGGATGAAATACAATACACGGAAAGAGATTAGTGAGATCTAGATTCAATATTCTAAGCAGACTTTTTCTCTTAAACCGTGTCTTCCATTTAAAAGCTCTAGTTGTATGTCATTTGGAGAGAACCCTACTCACTATATTTGTAAGTAGGTGAATGGTCACATTTTCTAATAAGCTCCCAAGCATTAAAGCCACATGTTTAGTTCTGGGGGAATAATGTTTTATATTAAACATTTCTTTGTTTAGTTAAGTTTTTTTTTTTCTTACTTGCAATATACTTTAAGAAACTTGCACTCTTTCATGAGAAGGTACTACACTAGATACTTGTAAAAAGCAATCCTTATGTATATCTATAGAAAGCTCAGTCACCTTCTCATTGTACTATTTCTATCATGAAAGATCAAGGAATATCTCAATATCTATAAGATAGAAACTACGAGTCATTTTTATCGAGTATCTTTCTATCCTAGTCCCTCAAAATTTCATTCATCCACCTATAAACTGCTGAATATTTCTTCCAGATTATCTGCTCAGCTGCTCCTTTGATCTTCCATCTGTTGATTTCTTTCTCTCTGATTGAAGAAACAAGAACTATCTGTGGCTATGTATTCCACCGATAAGCCGCAAGACAAAAGAAGGATGCGTATGAATGAAAATATTTCAACCTAAAGTGGCTTTTCCTGAAAATACTTAAAATCATGTTGATTTGATTTTTCTGTTAAGAATAGAATGACCAGATGCCATATTTTAAGAGCCCATCTCATTTTTAACTATTCTGCTACAGTATTCCAAAAACTACAAAGCCCCTTGGAAAGGACAGCAATGTTTGGCAGATTTCTTTTTAAAATGGTTTTTAACACTCTCAATGACTTCCCTTTGCATCTGAAATAAAATCTAAATTTCTATCATGGCCTAAAATTCTATGTGATCCTTCTATTGCTTACCTCATTTGTTCACACTTTTCCCAGACATACTAGCCTGTTTGATTGTGTTGAGGACACTATCCCCATTTCCATCTTGAGATCCTCCTACATGTAATTTTATTTGCCTAAAATAATCTTTTCCTGCTCTTATCATTGCTGAGTCCTTCTTATCTTCCAGGTCTTAGCTTAGGTTTCATCTTCACTTTTCTTTCCAAAAAATGGACATTTCTCTCCAAAAAATGTCCTGGTTTTTGACTCATGAAAGGGAGTGTAGTGTTGTGATCAAGAGCATAGCTCTACGTTAAAATAACAGGATTAACATCTACTCTGCCTTTAATCATTGTGCAGTTATGAGCAACTTATTTAACCTTTCCGGGCCTCAGTTCCATAATTTGTAAAATGGAGATAATAGTAACATCTCATAGGATTGTAAGTAAGTAATAGGATCCTCATAGGCTTCTAAGTAAGCTAATAAAGGAAAGCACTTAAAACAATGTCTGAAACAGAAGAAATGTCCAATAAATATTTATTGTCAGTATCTTAGCATCCTGTTTGTCTCTCCCAAATCTCTTATAACAACATGGACTTATTTTTCAAACTGAATTTTTGTCTACCTATCATGCTACATTTTAAGGTTTCTGAGAGCAAAGATTGTATTAATATCAATCTTGTTTCATTTTTGTTTTTTTTTTTTCAAAGTCTAATCAACTTACCTGGCATATAATAAAGTTTAGTGACTATTGAGTGATTGAGTGAATGACAGATATCTGGGAAAGATCGTGTCTATGAATGGTATAAACTGGTGAGTATAACCTCTTCTTCTACCCATCAACCAAACTTTTATATTAAGAACGGTCACTATCACACCTTAGAATTTAGGAACTTAACCACCGCTGGCTGGTGCAATGGCTTTTGTCATGTAACTAGCTTTTCCTGTGGCATGAACAAAATACACGCTTCTCTGTTCCTATATATTAGGCCATCTGTGCTATTAATGACTCTAAAAGAAAAATGAAACCCATGCTAACAGGCAAAGAATCTTTACTCAAAATGGCATTACACAGTGCTATCTCTAAAGAAAACCAAAAATTGACTTTGTGAAATGTGGTTATTCTATAAATGATTTTAAAAAAGAAGCCAGCTATACTACAGAACTAAATGGCAAGGATTACGCTGACATTTACTGGTTCCCTTCTTGCCACTTTTAGCAAAGTTCTATAAAGGAGAGATAAACTCAGACTAGAGCAAATCAGAAATGGAAGGAAATTCTGCTGTCTGCCCTTGTCCTGCAATCTATGTTGACTAAATGGACTTTTAAATAGGAACCTTACCAGACTGAAAAACCAACTGCTTCTGAAGTCTAAATTGAAATGGTTGTATTGTAGTGGCTTTAAAACTGCAGCTTTAGCTGGAGATAAAGCTGGTGTCCAGCCTTCTGCAAGGACAGCAATAAGCTATTGCTTTTCCACTCAAGCCACTGTTTTCAGGGTCAATAGTTTAAACAAGAAGCTTAAGAGTGAAGCTCTTGAAATAATGGCTAATGCTCAGGAAACAGAAAGTAAAAGACTGATCATGGTAATTAAAAGCAGAGCTTATAAAAAAGGAAGTAAAAGACAAGACTTGCCAGGCTTAAAACTATGTCAAAACAAGATTTGAGTTGTGGTTACTCAACCAAGGAATTAACTGGAAGCAAACAGACTGAAAATCTACTATGTTTTTGGAATGAAATTTATTGTAAAAAAAGAAAAGAGAAAAAGAAAAAGATGGTTCAAGCCTGGTTCATATGAACCTGTAATAAACAATCCTTTGGCTCTAAACCTGCACCAAGAGGAAAAGGCTGGGCCACCCCAGGCAAGACCTTTCTCTCCAAGGCCTAGACATAGCACGGAGGATCCAGAGACAAGATCTTTGTCAAGGGCAGAACTAAGGCTGACAGATGGATTAACAAATTGTTCTAGAGCAGGTAATCTATACTAGTGTGTTCATCGGGATTTGATCATTTCTGAGCGCCCTGATTGCTTAGTGTTTTCCATTTTCCAGAAGGACATTTTTATTTCGTTATTGTGTTTCTTCTCTACCACAGTATTTTCATTGGTTAGGTACCGCACATTATAAGTTATTAGACGACAAGGTACAATATCCAATCTTAACATAGAAGATTATACTACTCATGTCCTGGAATTCATGAAAGATGTAGCAACTAAATGAGACTTTAGGAAAGTCTGTTTTGGGGAGTGATATGTGTATTCTATATATATGGAGACATACACATACATGCACACACATCTATATGCATAAGTATGAATGTGTGTATTCTATATACACACACACATACTTTATATATCTACAAAATATAAATGTAAGTCATTCCATGGCCTTCTAAAGAAACTCATTAAAGGGGTTGACTCAACTGGAATGTGTACTCCTTATGTTCTTTTCCTTTCCTCGAGTCTAAAATACGAATGAGAAGGTTGGTGTTCCAGTAACCAGCTTGTAAGCATGAAGCAGCATTGCAGGTGAAAGCCAATAATAGGGATAGCAGAGCAAAAACTTAGAAGTGAGCTACCCAGTGTTACCTACTTATGGACTTCAAGTTTTGTGAAAGGAAATTCAATCCCTACTTTATTGTACACATTATTATTCTAGCCTTATGCATTAGCCCCCAAAGATCATTTCTAAATACACATTTTTGCCAGTTGGTCCCAGACCAAATTTTGTGAATAACTGTTTCAGAGGTTTAAAATTTGTACTACATTGTGATCTTGTCTAGTACTTTTCCAAGGTTGAAAGAAGAGTTGACTAGCACATAACTGTCATCATTCTTTTAAAAAATTCCAAATACCTAGTGGAATGGAAACAAAATAATGTTTACTAGCTTTATATCCATTATAATAAGAATGTAATAATATTATTTATTTTATCATGCACTAATAATTTTAAGAGGCAAGGTATCTTCTTATGCATTTAGATCAAATCTTGGTTTCTAGGTTGTAGTTTAATAAGTAAATGAGTGTAAATTTGTGTACATGTGTGTTTAGTACACATGCACATACGTATACATAGACTTAGACATAGATAAACGCATGTGTCTCTGGATATGTTCCAGTATAAATATAAATTTGATAGCTTGTTACAACTTCATTTGTTTAGCAGACTTTCCTGAACCCCAAGATTTTGCAAATTAAATAAATCTATTCGGCTGTCGCAGCAAGTTTACTTTCTAAAGAAATGACAGGCTTGATTAGTAAGTATGCCCTTTATCTGTAAGGTTCTTATTTGTCTACCATTTCACAGCAAGCAATTCTGATGAATAGTGCAATTAACCTTTCTTTTATTAAAACAATTAATTGTAAAAATTAAAGACATGACAGGGACAAAATATTAATGCATAAACTATTAGGTTCAGAAATTATCATTATTAACCCACGTACAGTAATTGTGGCATAAACAATGAACAAACTGTAAGATAAAATGTGTCATAAATTTTTTGCTTTTCACTTCTTTCCTGGACAAAAGAAAAGAAGTATTGGGCATGAGGTTTAAAAGAGAATTGGTATCAACTAAGCACTGTCAACATACAAGATATGACAATGAAGAATACTGATTTAGCTACTAGATATAAAGATGTATACATATAAACAAGTGTGTTTTTCAAAATAAACATCTTCAAGCTACATAATGATGCTACTCTGATGCTTACCAAAAAAAAGTTAGAATATCTTTCCTTTTTCTACAGTGTATAGCTATAGGGATGCTAAAATAGTCAGGAGGAACTATTTCTGATGTGGAATCAGATGATTTAAGCTAATTTCTCAATTTTGCCTTTTACTGGCCATAGAATTCATTTCCTTGGACTTGAGGTTTGAGAGAGCAAAATAAAACTTCTAAACTCTTCTCATCAGTTTTGTAGTAACTGGGTAATATATGACAACACTTAAATATCAGGTAGTACACACATGTGAATTGTTGTTATTATTTTTATTGGGTTCAGAGAAATAAATTCTGCACTGCTCAAAAGGGTAGCCACTATCCATGTGTGGTTACTGAGCACTTAGAATGCGGCTCGTCTGAGTGGGAAATTGAACTTTTGAGTTTATTTCATTTTAAATAAATTAAATTTAAATAGCCACCTCTATTGCATTCTCTATACACCTCTCCCTCCTTATATAAGAGCAGGAGTTCCTGAGCTTATTTGTCAGATCTTAGTGATTGGACCATGATAACTAGTAGGCCCAGTCATCGCATTTTTAGGGGCATGCACTGAACGATGTTTTACTATTTAAATGCCATTTGTGATCCTTTTGTGCTTGTAGAAACCTCGAGACAAGGTAAGTTCAGCTCTTCCTGAATCTCCTCGTAATGATATCATTCATATCATGAAAAGTTTGCCTGCTGTTCATTTGGGAGGATGAAGAGTTTTCAATCCCTGAATTAGACTCTTTAGTTTGAAAAGCTTAATAGAGACCATCTATAAACTCAATTCCATACAGGATCCACTTTATAAGTCAACCTAAAGCAAGAGAAACAGCTATTTGCCACAGTACTATTCGAATATTCTACAAGCCAGTCATGTCAAAATTTTAATCTTGTTTAAAATGATATGACATTTTTGCAATAACAGCGTTTGATGATTTGTTTTGTGAAAGGAAAAAAGGATAAAAGAGTATTTTGATTTGAGCATGTGATTGGAAACATAATGGGCTATAAAATAACTATTTTTAGTAAATAAAAGAGCTAAAGTATGGCTGGGATACCTTTCCAGATAGATAGTTTCATTGATTCTTTGAAGGGGAATGTTTACGTGGTATACAGAATAGTCTGACATCATAGAATTAGTTGGCGAATTTATTTGATGAAGTAACTCAGCATTTAGTGCTAGCCACATAGGGAGCACTCAACATGTGCTGATGAAAATATTTATCTTTTGAGGACATTTTCAAGTATTCTGATTTTTTTGTTATTCAGTAGCAAATGTGTAAAATATACAGGGTAATTCATCAAGCAGATCAAGGACACCTAAATTAATAAAAGAGAATATTTAATAGTCACCATGGGTTATATATGCAAATTACAATATTTTGTTTTAGACAGAAATTATTAATTTACATATGATGTCCTTTTTTGATGTATGATCAAAGGCAATTGTTATTCATCCCTTTATTCAGGTGAAGTTTTGGTGAAGGGGCAAGCAGAAACAGGTGAAATGTTTAGTTTTTGTTCAGTGAAGTGGCTTAAACACAGAAAAACTTTGATCTCCCTGACTTGGTTGAACTGTATGCTGAAAAAGAATGTTTGTTAGTTTCCTCTAACTGGAAGAAATTAGCAATATGCTTTGAAACCTGACAAAATTTAAGAATAAATGTATCATATTTTTCTTCTAAACCTAAGTAAAGTTTACAAGATAAAAGAATTCTATCTGTTAAACAATCAAATTTATTTCTTCAACACATAGTTAAAATTCTATTTAGATTAAGACTTTAGTTTCAGCATTGTGGTGATTTAGAAATAAGATTAAATCATCTGAAACCATATCCTCTTATCATAGATAATTCCTATCTGCCTCCATGTAATCCAACTCTATCAAATGTCACTATTTACCCATATAAGAAACATGGTTCCATAATGAAATTGAAAAATTTTCACAAATTACTCATACATAAACTCCTACCCTGTTTTTTTCAAACAATAATGTCAATCATAGTAAAAAATAACATCAATCTGACTCTGACTTTTTTAGTTTTATTTTTTGTTGAATCATAATGTATGTACATAGTTTTAGGGTACATGTGATAATTTAATACATTCATGTAATTTGCAAAGATCAAATCAGTATAATTGGGCTGTTACCTTAAATATTTGCCTTTTCTTATTCTCATCTAGCTATTTTTAAATATATATAATCAATTATTGTAAGCTATAATACTAATACATCCTACTCATCTGTTAAACACTAGGTCTTATTTCTTCTATCAAACTGCCTGTAACTTTTCAAGGTGACTTCAATACAATGGTAAAGCAAAGTTTGCAGAAAACAACCGTAGTATCTTGACAGCATATTGTATCGGTCAGGGTTCTCCAGAAAAACAAAATCAACAGGATGCATATAAAAAGGGAGATTTATTTTTAGGAATTGGCTTATGTAATCGTGGAGGTTTAACAAGTCCAAAATGTGCAGGGTAGGCTGTGAGACTGCAGTCCCAGGGAAGAGGGCTATTTGAGTCCTAAGACACTGTGCAAGCAGAATCATCATTTCTTTGCCTCTTAAGACCTTCACTTGATTGGATGAGGTCCACCACATTATGGGGGATAATCTGCTCTATGCAAACCTTACCAATTTAATTAATAATCTCATCCAAAAATACCTTCACAGAAACATTTACAATAATGTTTGACCAAATGGGTACCGTGGCCTAGCCAAGTTGACCCATAAAATTAACCGTCACACATATAGAACCTTTAATTTTAAATAAAACAGCGACCTAAAAAAATTAAGGTAGTTAATGTTATTTAAAAGCTTTGGTGGCCATTTTAAATTGGTTTTTAAAACGTATGCTTTTCAGTTTGAAAGAATGTGAAGTCACTGAGTTATCAATTGATTATTTTCTCAAGCACAAGAAGATTTACTAATACTTTCATGGTCTTTCCTTACACTCAATATGATTTCCAACATGTTTACTAAACAAATAAGGCAATTCATCAGCATTTCCAACATTGTTTCTACCTACTCAATTTAATTTAATGTGCTTAAATCCCAGTCTAATTTTCCCAAATTCAATCTACTTGCTAAGTTTGTCATAGCTGGTCAAATTTTGATTTTAATGTAACAGATTTACATCTAAAATGAATGATTATACATCATCAACCTAAGATTGTTCTAACTAAAATTTAATACTGAATTTCTCAAACATTATCCAAGCATCTTATAAATACACTTTCTTATTATTCGCTTTCTGTTCTGGTTCTAATCTTGTAGCATCTACTTGCACTACAGAAATGCCAATCATCTATATATTTATCCACAAGATTTTAGTTTGTGGTCTTGCTAATAGGAAAAATACACACTAAAGATTTCAAAGAAGAATGTAACTCATTACATGCAATAGTTGAGAAGTATGCCATGGTTAGCATTCTACAAATATGTAATCTTGTTATATTGTGAAATGCTATAATACTATGCCCTTTTCTAAAATGCAGTTTACTGGAGCATGGCAGGAAGAAGGCAGGAGGCCAAAAACTGGAAAAGGCAATTACATAATGTAAGTTATTTTTCTCATTTTTAAAATAAAAATTTCTTTGACTTCTAATCTGATTTTTATCATAATATGTCATGCCCAACACCCATATGGACACAAAAAATTTAAGTCATGCTTTACTGCATCCATCTATTTAATTGTTTTTCCTTGAATAGTTTTAAAATTTTAATTTATATGATTTTTTCTAACTGTTAACTGAAATGGATTGAAATTTATTACCTATGTTTTTCTTTGTAACTTCTTAGACCTTTCTGAATACAATAGCTTCAGCAAATGTTAGCAGTTGAAATTGTTTCTATGTCCCTCCAGTTTGATTGGAGTTTTCAGGAAGGATTTGTGAGGGTTACTTATCTGATTGTATGAAAACATTTATGTTGCATGTAAAAATAGCATTTATTTTCTTCCACCTGTCAAATTGAAATATTTGGATGTTGCAAACTCTAGAATTTCACTTGCAACTAGAATATCCTCATTTAAATACTCTATTTGCTAAGCCAGTCATACCTGGAGTAAATTATTTTAAAAAGCAAGATTTATTGATACTCTGTAGGTTTTATTAAATGTTATAGCTTTTTCCAAAAGCTTCAAATATGTTATTTTCTTAAATATTTACTCAGTTTAATATTTGAATTATCATGTTTCAATTTTCTCATATTTTAAAACAACTTCTATTTTATTCCGGAAAAAAATAGGCACTGCTATATAACTTGAAATGGTTGAGTAGATTATGATGACATTGGTATTCCTGCTGTTGAGAGAGTAAATAATTCCTAATTAATGAATTTGTTGGAAATTAAATCAGGTTCTGCCTTATGTCCTATATGTTTATCCACATTTTTAGTCATTAATCAGTATAATCAACTAACTTTTATAGAATTATGTGTTATGTATTATAGATACTTATTGCATATAATAATTGAGGCTCAGAAAATTAAAATATGCTGATATGCATTTATTATAATTTTATTAATAAAGTCAGTATTAAATATCCCTTATGTGCCAGCCAACAATACATGCACTAAAGATATCCTGATGAAAATCTTGGGCCTGTGCTCAAGAACCTCGGAAAAGCCCTGGTAGAGATTTGAAGCAAACTCACAAGAATCAGACCTGATAAGATCAGAAAATTTCAAAGTAAAAAGGGAAAGCAAAAGCAAAACTAAAAATAACATAAAGTTGTTTAGAAACATTTAAGATAAGCTAAGTATCAAAACAGAATATAGCATCCTATGTTATGTAATCTAAATAAGATAATAATTAAATATCCTTATATCTAATTTACATTCTAAAAAAAATGGGGTGAAGTCCAGCATTTTTCCTCTCATTTTTGTCATGTTCATCACTTTTCCTAGAAGTATATGTAACATCTTATGATAAGGTCTCTTCCTACGAGTATATAAAACATCAAGCTAAACAATATTTCCCATCATGCTGCTTTTGTTTTCTGTTTTTTTTTTTTTTTTTTTTTTGCAACCATCAGCAGAACTGCTATCATTATCTCTTCTATTTTGCTCATGTCTTTGAATGCTTATCCTAAACTTCTCTGTTTATTCTAATGATGAAGTGTTGTTCTACTGTTAATTTGATTACACTGGAAACTATAATACATTTCTGAGAATCTCCTTGCCTGTATGTTTGCAAGTCTGAGATGGACAAAAGAGAAGGTGCAAAGGAAATGATGCTCTGAAAGGTTTGGTTAGAGGCTGCAACAGGCACAGAGGTGCTGGCAAGTTCTAGTTTGTCCTCAGTATTTCTTTCTCTACACTCAGTTCTCTTTCCAAAATGTGGGCCCTACTGACAAATAGCAACCTCGTGCCCACTCTCCACACAACCCTTCTTAGTTGTAAAGTCAAGGAAGTGTTAGACAGGAAGGCCAGCAACCTTCCCTAGATTTCCTGGAGTCTTTTCCAACTCTACTGCTCTTTATGAAGAAATAAGGAAAAAATCAATATAAGGACACAGAAAATAGCTGAGTTCTTCCTGAACCTTAATGAAACTCAGAAGAAAAATCCTTTATAAAAGAATATGTAGTCAGAACTTCAGGGTAAGTAGCTGAGAGAATGCAAGCCAGAATGAAGGAGCTATTGGAATGAAAAAGTCTCTGAATAAGAATGGGACCAGATTTGGGTTTATTCTGAGCTGCAGCTAGGGAGTTGCAGTGTGATTCTAACAAGGCAGGGAGTACACCAAAGGATTAGACATACACGGCGCACCAAGAGCAGCTGTTACCTTTTCAGTGGAATGAACATCTTGGCTTTAATACAGAACAGTTATTAATTGGAAGCATAGGATTTAAGAACCCACAAGTTCCATCTTGACTATGGAGTAAGTTACCAACTATAGCCTCCAGCAGCAGAAGGTAAATCCTGTAACCACTCAAGCACAGAGAAAAAGAGAGGGGTTGAAAGGTTTTAGGAGCCTTTTGATGAAGGGACATTTTATCTGACATCAACTCAGTATCTTTGACGGGCAGAGCTTGTTTAGGAAGAGTGCATAAAAACAATGCTTGTTTTCTCTGCAGTCTTTAAAATTGCTTAAAAATACATTGTGTTAAAGTACAACAAGCAGTAGCTTGTAAAAAGTGGCAATAATTAAGGAGTTAAACTTGGGGTGGGGAATTTCACATTTTGTATGGTTTGCATTTAATTTACCATGCAAATATATAATGTTTATATTAAAAAGAAAAGAGTGAATAGTCCCTATATGAGACTTATTTTTTAAATCAATGCAAAACAAAATATGAAGCCCCTTTAAGTAAAATTCAAGTTAATATATCCTTATTAAGAGTGTGTTATGGGGCCAGTCACAGTGGCTCACACCTGTAATCCCAGAACTTTGGGAGGCCAAGGCAGGTGGATCACTTGAGCCCAAGAGTTCGGAGACCAGCCTGGGCAATGTGGCAAGACCTCGTTTCTATAAAAAATACAAAAAAATTAGCTAAGCATAGTGGCACACCCCTGTAGTCCCAGCTACTCGGAAGGCTGAGGTGGGAGGATTGCTTGAGCCTGGGAGGTAGAGGTTGCAGTTAGCCAAGATCGTGCCACTACACTCCAGCCTGAGTGACAGAGTGAGACACTGTCTCAAAAAAGGAAAAAAATGGAAAGAAAAGAAAAGAAACAAGAAAGAAAGAAAGGAGAGTGTGCTATGTTCTATATACTGCTCCAGATCCTGAATATTGTGTGAAAAAATTTTAAAAAGTACATTTCGAAAATACGTATTTTGTTAAAATTGAGCACTGTTTTCTCTGTATGTTCTCTCCTCAATTCAACAGTTAGACATAAATTTTGCTAATTTATATTCCATAGTTCATAGTTTCTAAATTGAATATTCAAGAGCTGTAGAATTGATTTATGTTTTAAAATGAAAGTCAACATCATGAGAGTTATTGATTGTCTTATCTACTTTGTCAACCTTTGGACAACCTTTGTATTTTTGGTAAAATCTCATTATGGAAAATCAAACATTGGTCATAATTCTTCTGTCTCCTATAGTATTGCTATGTGTCCACACACTTGGCATGGTTCTATATATGGGTGAAGTATACTTCCCTGCCCACTAAACTTTGGGAATAACCATATGAACTTATTTGATCAATGGGTTATTAGCAGACCTGAAACAATATCAGCTTGGAGTGTAATTCTGTTACAGAGCATGGCTTCTTGTTCTTCTGCTGTCACTAGGAGAAGATGTCCTAGTTAACTTGTTTATCAAGGCAGAATGAGAAACTTGGACCCATCCTACATTGACAGCCAAACCTAGGAGATTTGGCAGTCTGGATCAGTGAACACACAGCCATCCCAAACTATGTGAGTAATTAAGCATGTCATTCAATTTTGGGCTAGCTTGTTAAACAGCATTTTTGTGGCACTGTTTGAATAATGCAAAAATTTTACCAAAAAAAACCCCTCAAATATATGGTATTGGTTTTGAAACCAGGCATAAGTGACAAGAAATTATTATAAGAGTCCAAGAGATTGATGAGGAAACTGTTGTCAAAAGATGGAAAAATGGTGACATATATTAGGTAGTGGAAAAATATTTAGTAAAATGGTCACTTATGATAATTGAGAAGAAAAAAATCACCCAATGAATTTGTAGAGTTGAGGGATGGGATTTCAAGGCTAGTTGCATTTGAGAAGGTGCTACAAGGAAGAGATTAAGTTAGAAACTAATTAGCTGATGCGTAAAATCAGTCCAACAACTTTCAGTTTTAGATAATGAAGGGGTTCCTCACCAAATTAAAGGTATATCCATTATAATAACCCAAGATCTTTATCAGTAGGGGTAGCAAAATGTGGGGGTGGGTGTGTGTGTTTGACACATCTCATAGGTGAGATGTGATATACCATTTCCGCTCAGTCACTTGGTAGCTGGTTGACCATAAATAAGTTACCGAATCTAGGCTTCAGTTTACCCACTTCTAAGCTTTCTCCATTACAAAGGGTTGTTTTGAATATACAAATTAAGACCAAAAAAGCAAAACAAAACAACAACAAATAAATCTTGAAAAGTGCTTGGCACAATATAAGCACCAATATAAACAACATTTGTTGTAATGTTGTTTTATTTGTTTTAATAATTATTATTATTAATAGTCATGGTTGCATATTAAAATTTTGAATACTTGAAGACATTTTAAAAAATATATTCATTACATAGACTACTCCACCTAGAGTCTGGTAGTACAAGAAAGTAATCTAATTACCCTGAGATAGTCTAAAACACTGAGAAAGATAACCTCAGCTATACAACCATATTTATTCTAATGAAATGTCATTCATATTATAAAGTTAGAACATTAAGAATGCTAAATGCTAAATATGTACCTGCCAAAGTGCTCAATACTGTAGGCTCTATAAAAAAGTATGAGCTTTATATTGTCCCCAATCCTGGGAACTTAGTTGAAAAGAACAAAATAAAACTGAAATTTTCAGAATTTTTCTGAAAAAGAACAATTTTGTATAAATCGTTACTTTTATTGCCTTCCTGCTCTACCAGCTTTTTGCATCAATTTTCATTCTTGTACACACAAACACTATTTTTCCCCATTTGAATGTTGAAGCACAAAATTATATTTCTTGCCTGTATGAGTTCACTCTAAATTCATAATATTCAACCTTATCTGTAAGTTTGCTCCTGCTAAGACTGCTCTAGATGTAGCAACTCTTTCCAATTTAGTCAATCCTACCACCTTCACTGTCAGATGATGTCAACTATTTCCCTACTAAATTTACTGTCTCTCATAGGTTTTACAAATTTACAAATCCAAAGGCCTGTTTTCAGTCATTATTTGACACTATTGACAGTTACTTTCCTCTTGAAACTTTCCTTCCTCACATATGTGTGGCTATACTCTTTAATTTTTGTCTGCAATATTTCAGTCATTCTCCTCTGTGCAAATGACTGGCTTCCTTTTCTCTTCTCTTCTCCATTCTTTGAAATTATACTCCTTGAATGCTTCTGTTCTGAAGTGTTTATCTTTGGCTCTCATAACTCCTTCACTCTATACTGGCATATGAATGATTTTAACCCACATATGACAGATTCCTAATCTACACCTCTGGACCTGACCATTCTCTATGCCCAACACCTAGAATTCCTGCTGCCTACAAGGCTGCCTTCAAATTCAATTTGTCTAATATTTCTAAGATTACTTCCCTGGAAACTTGTTGTATTTAGTATCACTAGTCACTTTTATTACTATTCCTTTGGTTTTCTAACCTAGATGCACTGATGTCATCTATTTTCTTCCCATGTACACCTACTAAATGGTAGAGCTTCACTGATAAGATGAACTTTGAGCAGAGATTTGAGTGAACAAGGGAGTAAGCAATGCTCGTATCTGCAGGAAAGGCATTTTGGCCAGAAAAGAAAGAGGAAGAACAGAGGATCTGAGGCTCTAGTGTGTTTGGTGGATTTGGAATATCCAGGAGGTCTGCGTGAAAATTAAAAAAAAAAAAAAAAAAAGAGAGAAAAAGTAATGGAGAAAGGATTAGAAAAAAAGAAAATAAAGCCCACTTCACATCTTTCACATCTGTCTTCTGCTGGAGATATGAAAGGCAGAATGGCTGCCAATGGGCATGTATTTACATAATCACTTTGCTTTGTGCCTTTCTAACCAGGTAAATTAGAATGCTTTGTTTAAAAAATAAATACAAATGAACAATAAAACAAAACAAAATAAAACTCTAGTGGTGAGTCTCAATTTTAGCAACCCTGTAAACAGTAGTTTTACTAAGAAGAGCGAAGACTGCCGGTTTTTCTGGTCTCAGATGCAAACCAAATGTAGAACTTAAGAATTTTTTTTTTAATTTTTTTAAATTTTTTATTTTTTTACGGACGGAGTCTCGCTCTGTCACCCAGTCTGGAGTGCAGTGGCGCGATCGACGCTCACTGCGAGCTCCGCCTCCCGGGTTCACTGCCACGCTTAATTTAAGAATTTAAGAATTTTTAAATTAAGCGTGGCAGTGCCAAAGTGTCTGGCATGACTTATGCAGAATTTTAACAGATGAGATAAGATTACCGTATATGGACTTCCTTCTATCTTCTCCTACACAACAGTGTCAAATGGACATGAGGGACAACTTGTATTGGGAGGATGATAGTAGGGAGAAATGAATTCATTGTTGTGAAGTGACAAAAAAAAAAGATGGCTCTGAAACGCCCTTAAATGCTCTCTCTAGGATGCCAGAAAAATCACTTCACCAGGACCAGAACTTTCTCACAACTTTCCACCCGGAGGCTGGTAGCTTCTCTCTCCGCAGACAAAAAAATGAAAGCTTTCCCAGCCACCTCATAGGATCAGTGGGCATCTAACTCCAGGCTGCCAGACACTGCAAATGATGTATTTGTCCCCCACTGACCAGGTGCTTCCAGTGCTTGCCCTAATAGAAAAGAAAACAACAGGGGTCATATTTCCTTCCCTGGAACTTAACCTGAAGGCCTGCCCTGCAGACCATGGTTGTCTGTCATGAACCTCTTTGCAGCTGATGAAAGTCTGGGTGGGTGGGGAGACACTGGCTCTTTGCTGACTTCTACTTTGTTGTGTCCCCTATAAAATTTTATCTTTAATCTATCCTGAGTAGTGTCTTCTCTCTTCTGCCACATGTTAAGCCAAGAATGAACCAGCTTTGCATAAAAATTGCTTTTTTTTTTTTTTTCGAGAGGGAGTCTCGCACTGTCTCCCAGGCTGGAGTGCAATGGTGCGATCTCGGCTCACTGCAACCTTCACCTCCCGGGTTCAAGTGATTCTCCTACCTCAGCCTCCCAAGTAGCTGGGATTACAGGTGCCTGCCACCAAGTCTGGCTAATGTTTTGTATTTTTAGTAGAGATGGGGTTTTCACTATGTTGGCCAGGCTGATCTTGAACTCCTGACCTCGTGATCTGCCCACCTCGGCCATCCAAAGTGCTGGGATTACAGGCGTGAGCCACCGCGCCTGGCCAAAAACAGCATTTGTTAAAGAGATGGGGTCTCACTCTGTTGCCTAGGCTGAAGTACAGTGCTATAATCATAGCTCACTGCAGCCTCCAACTCCTGGCCTCAAGCTGTCTTCCTGCCTCAGCCTCCTGAGCAGCTGGGACTACAGGTGTATGCCACCACACCCTTAAAACTGTATTTTTGAAACACACAAGTCATTGTGAAAATATTTCTTTTATTGAGCCAGACATGGTCATGGTCACATGATTCCCGTGGGATGGATAAATGTCATGAGAATAATTCACTTTGTAAGTTTCTACAGCTCATTGAGCTTTACCTCATGTTTCGATTCACATTCTGCAGACCTACTAGAGTCTGCGGATATAGAAGGTTGGAAGTTTAAGGAGGCGAATCTCCAGTGAGTAGTAACATCCCTCGTGTAAGCCTTCAAAGGGGTAGAAGCTAAACTGACCATTCAACCCTGATCCGTTACACAAAAACACCGGAAAATTTCTGTTGCAAGAGAATCAGAGATATGGGAAGAAAGAGTGGCAACTGAGGTAAAAGGAAATAATCCGTGGTATTTCCAGAGACACTGCTTCTGTTGTGTCGTAAGCTACATCAATTTCATAATGCTGTCTCTAGGTGATAAAAAGGTGAAGCCTATACAAAGTTGGAATTGAGAACTCCTTCATCTGCATTGTTCAGCTGTCTTCCTATGCCTTCCCTGGATGGTTTTGAGTGGAAAACACCCCTTGCTATAATAGGCCATAATGGTATCTTAGTTTCATTGAAGAGAGTAAGTTCAGCCTTTCTGCCTCTGCTACTATACCCTGAATAATTTCATCTCAAAATGTTCTTTGTTGACTATAAAGGCAGTGACAAATTTCATGTCACTATTTCATAGGAAAACCTATAATTCTTTGCTGTACTTCATTCTGTAGCTAATGTTGGGTATCCTCAAAATAACAGAAAACTTTTCATACTGAAAACAATCCCCTCTGTAATATCCACTGTGGAAAATGATAAGCTACATGAGAGGTATATATCGCAATGAGCATGCCCTCATATACATTTAGTTTCCAGATGTAAGCCTGTTCCCAAGATTTGCTTAGAGATAAAAACAGTTTAACACTTTTAAATTTCATATTTGTGTAATGCAATGAAATGATTTTTAAATCACTAACAACCCGCCTGAGGGTGATCAATCACTGCTAACCTGCCTACAACTTAGTAAGTTATGAATCTGAAGAGATTACAACTGTCACCTTCATCTCTTGCACTGGCAAAAGATTCATATTTCAAATCCAGGCTATCTTTGCATAAGATTCGGTGTTATATTGTCCTGCCACCTACTAATCATTATTTGGAAAGATGATGAGTCTTCCAAAGGCAAACATACATTTTCCTCTTATCACAGCAGCACAGTTCACTTTAGAAGAGTTAAGGTAGCATCAGTATTTCTATTATAGATTCCTGACTTCAAGGGGTTACGCATGTTGTAAAAGTTCGCCATGAGAAGACATTTGTCATATGCAGTGTGTTTGTGTTCTGGAATACTTAATACAATAAAACTATACCAAAAATCCGTAATCTAAAATTGTGGCTTTTAAATTTATTATTGGAACTGAAAACTCGATTACATATTTTCATCTTACAAATGGTGTTGCTTCCCTTATTATAAAACACTGAAATTATGAAAAGTGACTGTAGGATAAACTGACTAGCATTGAGCAATAAATCGAAGTTGAATATCCCACCTTTCTATGCCATGTTGACAAATACATGGCTTGGATGTGACAAATGCGTTGTATTCCATACAATGTACAAAGCATTGTATCCTCCTGACCAGAAGGCTTATTCTGGGATAAGCCTGTGCTCTACGCTGGCCAGGCAGAACAATAGCTAGGACTGAGAGATGAGTCTAGAAAGGTGCTTGTTCTTTCCTGCTGGACATTAAACTTGGGCAAATTGATGCTGGAGTTCTGTAGGCATCATTTCACCCAGGTAAGAGCGTGTCGAACTAACAGGTGATGATGTGGAGATGTGGATTTAGGCCAGCACAAGATGAGACAGATGCCAGAGAAAACTTAGCTCTAATGACGTTAGTTCAGCCCCAAATGCTGTCATTTTCTGAATTCAGCTCTATCCATGGATGTTTTAGTTATGCATTCTGATATATTTAAATTCAATTCCTTTCCTGCCCCTTCTCCCTCTCTCTGTAAGCCAGTAGGAGTTAGGTTTTTCTGTGACCTAAAGCGAAAGTCTCTTAATTGATGCAGCCTCTTAATCCATCTCTTCCACCTAGGCTCTGGGTTTTTAATCAATCCTGTACTGTCTTACTGGACTAATCTCCCTAGAAGTATGCTTCATCATGCCATTACCTGTTTTAAAACATGCAGAGAAAGAAATACACCACCCCCAACAATGTCTACTGCATCAAATCTAATGCTGGATTCTAAAGCCTTTCTTCATACCACACAAAATATACAAATTCATCTCTCACAGTGCACATATATATGTTCCAGTTAAACAGTGCTTCTTCCTTTCCTTGCTCTGTTTTACCTCCATGCCTCTGTTCATGATAGTTCCCATTCCTAAAATGAACATTTTGTTCCTCTCCAAATAGGGAAATGTTTCTTGAATTTTAAGGATCATATTACCTTCCAAATCTTTTCAGCTACTTCAGATTTCAATGATCTTCTGCTCTAACTCCAATAGCCTATATACAATCTATATTTTGGCACCAAGCATTTGTTTACCTTTGTAGATAATGACTTTCCTGAATTTAGTGACCACGTTTCAAGAATTAATTTACATCTCTACATTAGGTAACATTCTTTGACTATAGATAATGGGATTCACTTTAAGCAAGAGAGCAAGATATTTTATATGAGTTGCAGGATGTTTCACGGAAGCCAGGCACAGTCACACAGCCAAAAGCAAGAAACTCTTCAAAACCCTCAACTCTGACCCTGTGTAGCTGCTTATTTCTTCTCTTTGTATTCTCCTTTCTTTCCTTTTTTCCTTGTCTTCTGATCTATTCTACTCAACTTTATTCTCTCACTTCTTCTCTTTTTTTGCTTCTATTTTTTTCTTTCTACTCTTTCTTCTCCTCTGATTCCTCTTCCCTTTCTCTTCTTCTTCTTCCTCCTCCTGGTCTTTTTCTTCTCTTTTCTTCTTCCATCTTCTCCTCTCTCTCTCATCTTTCTCTTTCTACACTCAAAGTCTCACCATTTTTTCCACCTGCCATTCTATAGTCAACCCATAATAAAATAAAAATAATTAACTAATATTAAATTCCAATTCCAAGTTTCTGCAATATAATTAATTTAGCTAATTTTGAGTCATGTAACTTTGGTTCAGTCAACTATGCACACTAAGGATAGGATCTTATAAAATAGAGCTACGGCCTTGTAAATAGAGGGGTGATTTTCGAGAAGAAAAATGGTGAAGTAGCCTGTCCCATAGATATCTACTGTAATTTCACACAAAATTAGCATATCATTTCTACATACCTATTGATAGGTCAAGTCATGGGAGGTTTTGCCAGAGGTATAGGGAATTACATAAACCCTAAAGAAAAATTTAGATTCATAAGATTGGATAGAAAAGTCTAGGAA